>NC_000004.12:117709259-117860774 GCF_000001405.40 Homo sapiens | reverse complement strand
TTTTATTGCTATAAAGCATTCCTGTAGATTACTATAACACATTTATATATCTCCTATGCAGATTAGAGATAATTGGTAGGTCTCAGTACTGGCTTTGCGAACAGAACTCTTAGGAACATTGTTGTATATGTTTTGTGGTAAGGATATGCATGGGTTTGAGTTTTATGTATACTTAGGAATTAAGCTGTGGAGTCAAAGCATTCATGTATATGTTTGGCATTAATAGCTACTGCCAAATCGTTTTCCAAAATGGTTGTATCGGTTTACCAGTCCCTGATATGAGAGACCCAGTTTCTCCACATCTTTCAAATTACTTGATGTATTCATTTGCAGTTGTTGTGTAACACATTACTGCAAATTTAGTGGTTTAAAACAATATATGTTTGTTATTTTACAGTTTCTATAGGTCAGAAGTTAGAGAATGGCTTAATTATATTCTTTTTTTAGGGACTCACAGGCTGAAATTAAGGTGTTGGACAGGCTGTGTTCTCATCCAGGGGCTTGACTAGGAATGGATTCCTTTCCAAGCTCTTTACATTTTTGGCAGAGCTAATTTCTTTGTAATTGTCTAATTCTTGACAAAGCTTGCTTCTTCAAAACTATCAATGGAGACAGTTTTTGCTCTTACTTCTAGACCTTTTTCAAAAGGCTCACCTGATTAGGTCATATCCGTACAGAATTATCAACATGGTGAAATTCTGTCTCTACTAAAAATACAAAAAAAAAATTGCCCAGGCGTTGTGGCGCGCGCCTGTAATCCCAGCTACTCGGGAGGCTGAGGCAGGAGAATCACTTGAACCTGAGAGGTGGAGGTTGCGGTGAGCTAAGAACATGCCATCGCACTCCAGCCTGGATGACAAGAGTGAAACTCCATCTCAAAAAAAAAAAAAAATTAGGTTTGGGGGTGCATGTGAAGGTTTGTTGCATAGGGAACCTGTGTTTTAGGATTTGTTATACAGATTATTTCATGGCCCGGGTATTAAGCTCGGTACCCACAGTTATCTTTTCTGCTCCCATCCCTCCTCCCACCCTCCCTGATCAAGTGGACCCCAGTGTCTGCTGTTTCCTTTGTGTTCATAAGCTCTTATCATTTAGCTCCCATTTATAAGTGAGAACAGTTGTTATCTGGATTTCTGTTCCGCATTAGTTTGCTAAGGATAATAGCTCCATCCACATTCCCACAAAATACACAATCTCATTTTTTATGGCTGCATAGTATCCCATGATGTATATATACCACTTTTTCCTTATCTAATCTGTCATTGATGGGCATTTAGGTGATTCTATGTCTTTGCTGTTGTGAATGGTGCCGCAATGAACATTCACATGCATGTACCTTTACGGTAGAATGATTTATATTCCTCTGGGTATTTACCCAGTAGTGGGATTGCTGGGTCAAATGGTAGTTCTGCTTTTAGCTCTTTGAAGAATCACCATACTGCTTTCCATAATGATTCAACTAATTCACACTCCCACTAATAATGTATAAGTGTTCCCTTTTCTCCACAACCTTGCTGGCATCTGTTATTTTTTTGGCTTTTTATTAATATCCATTCTGACTGGCGTGAGATGGTGTCTCATTGTGGTTTTGATTTGCATTTCCTAATGATCAGTGATATAGAGCTTTTTTTCATATGCTTGTTGGCCGCATGTATGTCTTCTTTTGAGAAGTATCTGTTCATGTCCTTTGATCACATTTTAATGGGGTTATTTTTCTCTTGTAAATTTGTTTAAGTTCCTTATAGATGCTGGATATTAGACCTTTGTTGGACTCATAGTTTGCAAATATTTTCTCCCATTCTGTAAGTTGTCTGTTTACACTGTTGATGTTTCTTTTGCTATGCAGAAGCTCTTAAGTTTAATTAGATCCCATTCGTCAATTTTTGTTTTTGTTGTGATTAATTTTGGTGTCTTTGTCATAAAATCTTTGCCTGTTTCTATGTCCAGGATGGTAGTGCCTAGGTTATCTTCCAGGATTTTTATAGTTTTGGGTTTTACATTTATGTCTTTAAAATCCATCTTGAGTTGATTTTTGTACATGGTAAAAGGAAGGGGTTCAGTTTCAGTCTTCCACATATGGCTAGCCAGTTATCTCAGCACCATTTATTGAACAGGGAGTCTTTTACCATCGCTTGTTTTTGTCAGCTTTGTCAAAAATCAGATCGTAGATGTGTGGCCTTATTTCTGGGCTGTCTATTCCTTTCCATTGGTCTATGTGCCTGTTTTTTACCAGTACCTTGCGGTTTTGGTTACAGTAGCCTTGTAGTATAGTTTGAAGTCAGGTAACAAGATGCCTTCAGCTTTTCTCTTTTTGCTTAGGATTGCCTCAGCTATTTGGGCTCTTTTATGTTCTATGTGAATTTTAAAACAGTTTTTCCTAGTTCTTTGAAGGATGTCATTTGTCGTTTGGTAGGAATAGCATTGAATCTATAATTACTTTGGGAAGTGTAGTCATTTTAGTCATACTGATTCTTCCTATCCGTGAGCTTGGGATGTTTTTCCATTTGTTTGTGTCTTCTCTGTTAAGAGGGAAATTTATAGCACTAAATGCCCATATCACATGTTAGGAAGATCTTAAATTAACAACCTAACTTCACAGCTGAAAGAATTAGAGAAGCATGAACAAATCCACCCCAAAGCTAGCAGAATTAAAGGATATAGAGACATGAAAAACCATTCAAAAGATCAACAAAACCAGGACTTGGTTTTTTGAAAAAAATAATACAATAGATAGGCCAGTAGCTAGATTAATAAAGAAGAAAAGAGAGAAGATCCAAATAAACACAATTAGAAATGACTAAAGCAATGTTACTACCAACCGCACAGAAATAAAAACAATGATCAGAAACTACTCTGAACACCTCTACACACATAAACTAGAAAACCTAGAAGATAAGGTTAAATTCCTGGACACATACACCCTCCTGAGACTGAGCAAGGAAGAAATTGATTCTCTGAACAGAGCAATAACAAGCTCCAAAATTGAATCAGTAATAAATAGCCTACCAACCAAAAAAAGCTGGGGACCTAATGGATTCAGAGCCAAATTATACAAGATGTACAGAGAAGGGATGGTAGCATTCCTACAGAAACTATTCCAAAAAATTGAGGAGGAGAGACTCCTCCCCAACTCATTCTATGAGGCCAACATCTACTTGATACCAAAATCTGACAGAGACACAACCAAAAAAGAAAAGTTCAGGCCATTATCTTTGATGAACATCAATGAAAAATCCTCAACAAAATATTGGCAAACTGAATCCAGCAGCACATCAAAAAGCTAATCCACCATCATCAAGTAGTCTTCATCCTTGGGATGCAAGGTTGGTTCAATACATGCAAATCAATAAATGTGATTTGTCACATAAATAGAATTAAAGACAAAAACCACATGATTATGCCAATAAACACAGAAAAGGCTTTTGATAAAATTCAACACCCTTCATGTTAAAAACTCTCAATAAAACAGGTATTGAAGGAACATGACTCACAATAATAAGAGCCATCTATGACAGACCCACAGCCAGCATTATACTGAATGGGCAAAAGCTGGAAGCATTCCCCCTTGAAAACCAACACAAGACAAGGATGCCCTCTCTCACCATTTCTGTTCAATATAGTATTGGCAGTCCTAGCCAGAGCAATCAGGCAAGAGAAAGAAATAAAGGATATCCAAACAGGAAGAGAGGAAGTCAAGCTATCTCTATTTGCAGACAGGATTCTTATCTAGAAAACCCTACAGTCTCGGCCCAAGAGCTCCTCGAGCTGATAAACAACTTCGGCAAAGTTGAAAGATACAAAGCCAATATACAAAAATCACTATCATTCCTATACACCAACAACAGTCAAATCAAGAGCCAAATCAGAAAGGCAATCCCATTCACAATTGCCACAAAAGGAAGAAAATACCTGGGAACACAACTAACTAGGGAGGTAAAAGATATTTGCAATGAGAATTACAAAACACTGCTCAAAGAAATCAGAATAATCTTTTCTATTAACTTAAAGTAAACAGATTAGAGACCTTAATTATCTACGCACAATCCATTCACTTTTGTCATATTGTATTGGAACCAATTTACAGATGCTGCCCATACTTTAAGGTTGGGGATTACACAAAGTCCATAGATACAAAGATGCTGAACTCATGGATCTTAGAATTCTGCCTTCCACACTTAGTTTTGTTTACTTTTTAATTTTAGCCATTTTGGTGACATTGACTTTTGGTTTTAATTTCCATTTCCCCGATGTCATGAAATGGAGCACATTTTCATATTTCACGGTTCATTCGTATATCCTCTTTTGTCAAATGTCTGTTAAAGTCTTTTGCCCGTTCATCTACAGGTTTGATTCTATTGCTTATGGACTGAGAGGATTTCTTTACTGTTTCAGTGGCATGGTATAGTTAATAATAATACTTAATTTTAATGTAGTTTTTCTTATAATTTATTCTTTATGCTTAGTATGTTTTGTACCTTATTTAATTAATAAATTTTTGCCTAACCCAAAGTCATGAATTTTGTCTCCTATGTTTTCTTCTAAAAGCTTTCCCTTTTACTTTCCATAATTCATATTAAACAATCTAGAATTGATTTTACAATATTGTGTTAAGAGTTACTTTTACTATGTAGATATCCTCTTATGTGTGCGCAGAATCAGTAAATGGCACCAGAGGAATCAGGGTTGTAGTGTGTCAACTCACTTTTTTGTTTTTCTGCCTTCTGATACCTACACTCCTGTCATCCTCAAAGCTTTTGCAGCTCTCTAATACCTTTAAACAGATAATTTTTGAATTTTATTTTGCTTTTGTAACTGTTCTAGTGGGAGCCATGTGTTTTTGTTTTATTATAAATTCATAATATTTTACATATTTATAAAGTACATGTTGTTTTGTTACGTGCATAAAATATGTAATTATGAAGTCAGGGTATTTGAGGTGTACATCATTTTGAGTTATTTCTCATCTCTATGTGTTAAGAAAAATTCAAGTTCTCTCTTCTAGCTAGTTTAAAATATACAATACATTGTTATTAGCTATAGTCACTCACTTTGCTGTTGAATGATAGAACTTTTACCTTTCATTTAACTGTTTGTTTGTATGTGTTAACCTACCTGTCTTCATCCCATCCAACCACACTTCCCAGCATATGGTATCTATCATTCAACTCTCTATTTTTGTGAAATCAACTTTTTTAAACTCATAAAAATGAGTGAGAATATGTGATAGTTTTCTTTCTATGACTTGATTATTTCACTTAACATAATAACCCTAGTTTCATTCATGTTGCTGCAAATAACATGATTTCATTATTTTTTAAATGGCTGAATAGTATTCCATTATGTATATGTACCACATTTTCTTTATCCATTCATCCACTGATGGACATTTAGGTTGATTCCATGTCTTTGCTATTGTGAATAGTGTTGCAATAAACATGCCAGTGCAGGAATCCCTTTGATGTATCGATTTGTTTTCCTTTGAATAGATAACCAGTAGTGTGATTGCTGGAGCTATGGTAGTTGTAATTTTAGTTCTTTGATAAATCTCCATACCGTTTTCCATAGTGGTTGTACTAACTTAGATTCCCACCAACAGTTTATAAGAGTTTTCTCCACATCAGCACCAGTATGTTATATATTTTTTTGGCTTTTTAATAATAGGCATTCTGACTGAGGTAAGATAATACTTCATTGTGGTTTTGATTTGTGTTTCCCTGATGATTAGTATGTTGAGCATTTGTTCATATACTTGTTGGCTATTTGTATGTCTTCTTTTAAGAAATGTCTATTCATGTCCTTTGTCCACTTAAAAATTGTTTGCTGTTGTTTGAGTTCCCTGCATATTCTAGATATTAGTCCTTTGCTGGTTGAATAATTTGCAAACATTTTGTTCCATTCAACAGATTAGTACGTCACTGTTAATGTTTTTTTTTCTTGCTATAGAGAAGTTCTTTAGTTAATATAGTCTTCTTTGTCTATTTATGTTGTAGTTTGCTATGCTTTTGAGGTCTTAGCTGTAAATTTTTTTTTGCATAGACCAATGTCCTGAAGTGTTTTCATTATAATTTCTTCTAGAATTTTTACAGATTCGGGTCTTACATTTGAGTCTTTAATGTATCTAGAGTTGATTTTTGTATGTTGACGATAGGAGTCCAATTTCATTCTTCTGCATATTGCAATACAACTTTCCCAGGACAATTTAGTTAAAAAGGTGTATTTTCCCTAGTATATATTCTTGGTGCCTTTGTCAAAAATCAGTTGGCTGTAAATATGTGATTTTATTTCTGGGTTCTATATTCTGTTTCATTGGTTCTATATTCTGTGTCCATTATTATACTAATACCATGCTGTTTTGGTTGCTATCACTTTGTAATATATTTTGAAGTCAAGTAGTGTGATACCTTCAGCTTTGTTCTTTTTGCTTAGGATTGTTCTGGCTCTTTGGGCTCCTTTTTTGTTCCATATGAATTATAGGATTATTTTTTATATTTTGGGGAAAATGACATTGCTATTTTGATAAAATTGCATTGTAGCTGTATACTGCTTGAAGCAGTATGATCATTTTAATAATATTAATTCTTCTGATTCATGAGCATGGGATAGCTTTCCATTTGTTTGTGTCCTCTTCAGTGTTTTTCATGAGTATTTTGTAGTTTTCCTTATAGAGATCTTTCACCTTGGTTAAATTTATTCCTACGTTATTTTTTCTTACCTATTGTAAGTGGGATTGCCTTGCTGATTTTTTTGTCTGTTTTATGATTGTGTATAGAAATGCTACTAATTATTGTATATTGATTGTAAGTGTTCTGCAGCTTTATTAAATTTGTTGCAAATAGAGATGATTTGACTTCCTTTGTTCCAGTCTGCATGGTTTTTTTCTTTTTCTTGCCTAATTGTTTTAGCTAAGACTTTTAGTACTATATTGAATGGGGATGTTTAAAATGGGCATCCTTGTCTTGTTCCAGTAATTAGGGTAAATGGTTTCAACTTTTCCTTATTTAGTTTAAAGTTGACTGTGGGTTTGTCATACATAACCTTTATTATTTCGAGGTCTGTTATTTCTATGCCTAGTTTGTTGAGAGTTGTTATCATGAAAGATATGGAAGTTTATCAAATGCTTTTGCTGTGCCTATTGAGATAATCATATGGTTTTTTTCTTTCATTCTGCTGATGTGCCATGCCACATTTATTGATATGTGTATGTTAAACTATTGTTGCATTCCTCACATAAATCTCACTTGATTGTGATGTATTATCTTTTTGATGTGTTGTTGAATTTGGTTTGCTAGTATACTGTTGAGGATTTTTGCATCTATGTTTATCAGGGATATTGGCCTGTAGTTTTTGTTGTTGTTGTTGCTGTGTCCTTCTCTGGTTTTGGTATGAAGGTAATATTGGCTTCATGGAATTAATTAGGAAGAGTTCCCTCCTCTTTAATATTTTGGAATAGTTTGGGGATGATTGGTGTTTATATGTATATTAGAAAAGGCAGTGAATCTATCTGGTCCCGGGCTTTTCTTTGTTGGGAGATTTTTAAATTACTATTTCAATACTACTAATTATTGGTCTGTTCAAGTTTTCTATTTATTCCTGATTCAATCTTGGTAGGTTGTATGCATCCAGGAATTTATGTATTTCCTCTAGGTTTTCTAATTTGTTAGCATTTAGTTGTTCATAATTGTCTCTGATGAGCTGTTGTATTTCTGTAGTATTAATGTCTCATTTTTGATCTCTTTGTCTTCTCTCTTATTTCCTTGGTTAGTCTAGCTGGTGGCTTATAAAGTTTGTTTATCGCTTAAATAACCAACTTTGTGTTTCATTGATTTTTTATTCCTTATTTTTGTATAATTTTAATCTGATTTTTATTATTTTTTTATTCTGCTAATTTTTGGTTTGGTATGTTCTTGCTTTTTTAGTTCTTTGAGTGGCAATGTTAGATTGTTTATTTTACCTCTCTCCATTCTTTGGATGTAGGTGTTTATTGCTATAAATTTCTTATATTACAGCTTTTACTGTATCCCACAGGTGTTGGTATATTGTATTTCTATTTTCACTTGTTTCAGGAATTTTTTTGATTTCCGTTTTAAATTCCTCATGACCCAATTGTCATTCAGGATCATGTTTAATTTCTGTGTAGTTGTATAGTTTCCAGTGTTCCTGTTAGTATTGATTTCTAGTTTTATTGCATTGTGATCTGAGAAGATATTTAATATGATTTCTATTTTTAAAAAATACTTTTTAAAAAAATTATTTAAAAAATAAACATAGACTTGTTGTGTGGCCTGACATATTATCTATCTTGAATAATGTTATATGTGCTGATGAGAATGATGTGTATTCTGCAGTAGGATAAAATGTTTTGTAAATGTCTATTAGGTCCATTTGGTCCAAAGTCCAGTTTTAATCCAATGTTTTTTTGATTTTGTATCTAAATGTTCTATCTAATGCATAGAATGAGGGTATTGGAGTCTATCTCTCTTTTTAGATCTAGTAATATTTTCTTATGCATCTGAGTGCTCCAGGGTTTGTTGCATATATATTTAGAATTGCTATTTTATTTTGCTGGATTTATCACTTCATCATTTTATAATGACCTTCCTTATTTTTTTTAAATTTTTTTTCTATTTTTGGCTTAAAGTTTGTTCCATATAAGTATAGCTTCTCTTGCTCACTTTGCTTTTCTTTCACATAAAATACCTTTTTTCATCCTTTTACTTTGAGTTTATATGTGTATTTACAGAGAAAGTGCATTTCTTATAGGCACCATATAGTGGGATTAGTTGGATTATGTTTTCTTATCCATTCAGCCAGTATATCTTTTAAGTGGAGAATATAATCCATTTACATTTAAGGTAATTATTAATATGTGAGGTTTTCTCCCAGTCATACTGTTAATTAATTTTGGTTGTTTTGTATATTTTTTTTTGTTTTTTTCTCTTATTATTTGTCATTTTGTATTGGTAATGACCTGTAGTTGTGTCATTTATGTCTCTTTCTCTTTCTCATTTGTGTGTTTCCTTTACTATTGAGTTTTATACTTGTGTGTGTTTTTATGTTGGCAAATGTTATCCTTTAGCTTCCAGATTTAAGCCTCTCTTGTGCATTTCTTTTAGGACTGGTCTAGTGATGATGAATTTTCTGAGCATTTGTTTGTCTGGAAAAGACTTTATCTTTCACTTATGAAAGGTAACTTTGCTGGATGTAGTATAATTGATCAGCAGTTTTTTTTTCTTCTTTCAGCACAGTAAATATGTCATTCCATTTTCTCCTGTCCTGTAAGGTTTCTGCTGAGAAATCTACTGTTAGTCTGATGGAGGTTCCTTTATAGATGATATTTTTCTCTTTCTGTTTTTACAGTTCTTTCTTTCTTATTAACTTTAAATATTTTGACTGTAATGTGAAGTGGAGGCCTTTTACATTATATCTGTTTGGGGACTGTTGCCCCTTCTGTATCTGGGTGTCTTAATCTCTTGCCAGACTTGGGAAGTTTCATCTATTATTAAATAGGTTTTATAATTATTTTGTGCTCTCTTTTCCTTCTGAGATACTGATAATTCATACATTTGGTCACTTCATGATGTTCCATATATCACAAAAGTTTTATTTATTCTTTTTTTCTCATTTATTTATTATTATTATTATTATTTTTGCTGATACAGAAACTCACTCTGTCACCCAGGCAGAAGTGTAGTGGCATGATCATTGCTCACTGTAGCCTTGAACTTCTGGGCTCCAGTGATCCTCCTGCCTCAGCCTTCTGAGTAGCTGGGACTACAGTCATGTGCCACCATGTCTGTATAACTTAATTTTTTTTTTTTTTGTAGAGACAGAGTCTTACTATTTTTCCCAGGCTATCCTCCAACTCCTGAGCTCAAGCAATCCTTTCTCTTCAGCCTCCCACAGTGCTAGGATTATAGGCATGAGCCACCATGCCTGTCCTCCTTATTGTTGGCTAACTGGATTATTTCAAAAGATTTGTCTTCAGGTTTTGAGATTCTTTCTCTGCTTTATCCAGTCTATTGTTGAAACTTTTGAATGCATTTCACATTTCCTTCAGTGAATTCTTCAGTTCCAGAATTTTTTTGTTTTTATTTTATGATATCTATCTCTTTGTTAAATTTCTCATCACATCCTGAATTGTTTTTCTGACTTCTATTGCATCTGGTACATCAGTCACTTCTTTCAACATTTTGAGTTTGCTTTCATAGGAGAGGACTTTTTCCTAAAGATCTATCTGTGATGTTGGTTGGGTGGGTCACTTTGCCTTTGATTTTTGTTATGTGCAGTAATGTAGTCTCTGTACAATTTCTTTGGCTGTAAAAATTGTCAGTGGTATCTGAGATTTCCTCAGTGGCTTAGAGTGCAGTTATTAGTGGAGGCTGTGGTGAAGTTTTGTGGGAATTAGGATGCTAGGTAGGCCAGAGTTCAGGTTTCAGTAGTTGCAGCAGTGAGCTGTCTTTTGGGCTCAGGGTGGTTTACACTGACACTAGTGTTATCGTACCCAAGTTGGTTGATTCTTGAATCTCCAAGTGGCTTACTCTGATGCTTGGTAATGGCAGCCATAACCTTTGCAGTTTGGTGGGTTATTGGGCCCCTGTTCAGATGGTGTGGTGTGGGTGATCACAGTGGCAGTGGCAGGATGACCCTTTTGGTTCTGAGCAGTGCTGCTGTTGGCAGTGGCTACAGTGGGTTTTGGGCAGCCAGTCTCCAGGCCTGCAGGTAGCATGTGCAGGTAGATGACTGTTGTGGTAGTAGTGGCTGAGTGGATAGGCCCAACCTCAGTTTCTCAGGAGGAGTGTTCAGATGCCAACAATGATTGACTTGGCTGGGCAATCACCTGGCTTCTGGACTGTGCACACTGGCATAAGTGGGGAGAGGGGCAAAGTTGGGCTTTGTTGGCTTGTCTTCAGGCATGTGATGGTGTGTGTAGCTGCTGGCTGTGGTAGGAAGAAGTCAGGTAATCCCTAGGCCATCAGTGAAATTCTCAGGTTGATGGAAATAGCAGCTGTGCAGTGCCCTTCCCTGGGGCAGTGCCCACTTCAGTGACAGAAGTGTAGGCTGGTAGGTGAGAAGTATGCATACCACTTATACCTCATCTGAGGGTGTGGCAGTCACAGTCTGTCATGCCTAAGCCCTGGAGTTAATAGTCAGCTCTTCTCTTGCACCTCAGTCACAGCATTGCTGGAATTCAAGACAGTGCATAGTCTGTTGGGGGAAAGGGCTTTAGAATTGTGTCTCACTGACACCTCAGTTCTAAAAACAGCAGTCCGTGTTTCAGGTGTGTCTCTGCCCTGCGTAGGATAACCTGGGGTCACTTTTTCATAAGCCCCAGGAGCAGCAGCCTGTGCTTCTCTTGCATCTCAGCGGCAGCATTGTGGGGCTCCAGGACAGTGCACCATCTGTTGGAAATGGAGTTATAAAATGGCACTTTGCTGTAGCAGCTTAGGTCTCAAGAAATATCAGACACCCAGTGTGAGCATCCTTCCTGGGGCAATGACATAATAAAATCTCCCAGCCACACCCTCTATTAGTTTCAGAATCTGTGAGGGTAGAGGGCTCTCTTGTGGCTAGAATTGCAGAAGTCTATGGTGAAAATGTGGACAACTGAGAATCTTTCATTTACCCTTTCCTTGTGTTGGGGAGTCTCTCTTGGCTCCCAGCTGAACGAGGTTGAGCAGACTGCCTTGATTCTTTTTCTTTCCTTGCTTAGGTATTGCCTATTCATTTCCTTTTGAACTCCAGTGTTTTCTCTTGGATGACATCTTCAAAGTGTGATTATCTACTTGCTATTTTAGTTCTTTTTAGAGGAGGTAGCTAGTACAAAATGTCTTTAGTCAACCATCCTGAAGAAATGGATACATTTCTAGACACATACCACCTACAAAGATTGAAACACGAATAAATCCAAAACTTACACAGGCCAATAAGAAGTAACAAGATTGAAGCCATAATGAAAATTCTCCCAGAAAATAAAACCCTGGGAACCAATGGTTTCGCTGCTTAAAACTACCAAACATTTAAAGAACTACAACATGTGGTGTTTGGTTACATGGATGAGTACTTTAGCAGTGATTTCTGAGATTTTGGTGCACCCCTCACCTGAGTAGCATACACTGAACCCAATGTGTAGTTTTTTATGCCTCACCCCGTCCCACCCTTCCCAAGTCCTCAGAGTCCATTATGTCATTCTTATGCCTTTGTGTCCTCACATCTTAGCTCCCATTTATAAGTGAGAGCATAGAATATTTGGTTTTAAAATACACACCTATGTTAGTTCTCCATTGCTACATAACACATTACCCAAAATTTGGCAGCAGCTTAACACAATATATCTTCATTATCTCATGGTTTCTGTACATCAGGAGTCGGTGCAGGCATGGCTTCACTGGGTTCTCTGTTTCAGGATCTGCAATCAACCTTTCAGCTGTGGTGTGTTCTTATTTACAGGCTTGATCAGGGAGAATCTGCTTTCAAGCACATTCAAGTTGTGAGCAGAATTCATTTTCCTGCACTGTATGACTGAGGGCACTGGTCTTTTGCAGCGTGTTGGCTGGAAGCTGTCCTCAAATCCTAAAGAAAAATCAGTTACTTGCCATATCCATGTGGACTCTCATTTGGCAGTTCATGCACGGGTGTTTGCTTCCTCATGTCAAGCAGGAGAGCCTTTATCTTCAGTTGGCTAAGATGAAGTCTTACATAATAAAACATAATCTTGGGAGTGGCATCTTATCAGCTCTGCCATATTTGTTTGGCTAGAAGCGAATCACAAGTCCCACCCAGACTCAGATTATACAGTGCTTAATGCTAGGGAGTGGGGATCATGGGACCTTCCTAGAATTCTACTGATCACAGCTTCCTAAAGCATAAGTACTATAATAACCTTAGTGGAGTTTATGATTAAATTACACTTCCGTGTGTAACAACTTTTAGCGGTATGTGTACATCTAGTTTTAGTACAAGCATACCTCAGAGATATTGCAGGTTCAGTTTCAGACCATAGCAGTACAGCAAATATTGCAATAAAGCAAATCAGACAAAATTTTTGATTTCCCATGCATATAAAAATTATGTTTATACTATGCTATATTCTATTAAGTGTGCTATGGTATTATGGCTAACAAATGTATATAACTTAATTTTAAAAATACTTTATTCCTAAAAATTGCTAACACTCGTCTGAGCCTTCAGAAAGCTTTAATCTTTTCATTGGTAGGAGGTCTTGCCTACCTGTTGATGGCTGCTGTCAGGGTGGTGGTTGCTGAAGTTCAAGGTGTGGCAATTTCTTAGAATAAGACAACAGTGAAGTTTGCTGCATCAATTGATTCTTCCTTTAATGAAAGATTTCTCTGTAGCATGCAATGCTGTTTGAAAGCATTTTGTCTTCAATAGAACTTCTTTAATATTTGGAATTAATCCTTTCAAACACAGCTGCTGCTTTGTCAATAAAGTTTATGGAATATCCTAAATGCTTTGTTGTCATTTCAACAATGTTCACAGCATCTTCAACAGTAGTTTCCAAAAAAAGAAACCACTTTTTTTCCCTCCTCCATAAGAAGCAATTCCTCATCTGTTCAACTTCTATCATGAGATTGCAGCAATTCAGTCACATCTTCAGGCTTCACTTCTCATTCCAGTTCTCTTGCTATTTCCACCACATCTGCAGTGACTTTCTCCACTGAAGTCTTGAACCTCTCAAAGTCATTCATAAGAGTTGGCTTTAACTTCTTCCAAATCCCTGTTAATATTGATACTTTGACTTTTTCCCATGAATTATGAATGTTCTTAATGAATGTTCTTAAACATCTAGGATGGTGAATCCTTTCCAGATAGCTTTTTAAAGTTACTTTGCCAAGATCCATCAGAGGAATCACTATGTATGCTGGTTATTGCCTTATGAAATATATTTGTTAAAAACTAAGACTCGAAAATTGAAATTGTTCCTAGATCATGGGCTGCAGAATGGATGTTGTGTTAGCAGGTATGAAAACAACATTAAACCCTTGTACATCTCCATCAGAGCTCCTGGGTAACAAGGTGCATTGTCGGTGAACAGTAATGTTTTGAAATAATCTTTTATTTTCTGAGCAGTAGGTCTCAACTGTAGGCTTAACATCCTCAGTAAACCATGTTTTACAAAGCACAGGCAAAGATAGATTTAATATCATGCATAAGGGCTCCCGGGTTTTCTAAATGGTAAATGAGCACTGGCTTCAATTAAAGTCACCAGCTGCATTAGCCCGTAACAAGAGAGTTAGTCTGTCCTTTGATGTTTTTCAGCCAGTCATTGGCATCTCTTCTCTAGTTAAGAAAGTCCTAGATGGGATCTTCTTCCTTACAAGCCTGTTTTACCTATACTGAACATCTATTGTTTAGTGCAACCACCTTCTTCAATAATCTTACCTAGATTTTTTGGATAACTTGCTTCAGCTTCTCCATCAGCACTTGCTTCATCTTGCACTTTCATATTATGGAGATTCTTTCCCTAAATCTCATTAACTAACCTGTGCTGGCTTCCAACTTTTCTTCTGAAGCTTTCTCACCTCTCCTAGCCTTCATAGAATTGAAGTTAGGTCCTTGTTTTGGATTAGGCTTTGGCTTTAAGGGAATGTTGTGGTTGGTTTAATCTTCTGTCCAGGCCACTCACATTTTCTCCATATTAACAATAAGGCTGTTTCGTTTTCTTATCATTCATGTTTTCACTGGAGTAGCACTTCTAATTTTCTTCAAGAACTTTTCCTTTGCATCACAACTTGGCTAACTATTTGGCACAAGAGGCCTATCTTTTGGCCTATCTCAGCTTTCAAAATACCTTCCTCACTAAATTTAATCATTTCCAGCTTTTAATTTAATGTGAGAGACGTGTAACTCTTCTTTTCACTTAAACATTTGGAGGCCATTGTGGGATTATTAATTGACCTAATTTCAAAATTGTTTTGTCTTAGGGAATAGGGAGTCTTTGGGAGAGGGAGTGAGATGAGGGAACAGCCAGCTGGTGAAGCAGTTGGAACACACACAACATTTTAATGATTAATTTCACTGTCTTGTAGCAATGCAGTTCATGGTGCCCCAAAGCAATTACAATAGTAACAGCAAAGATGACTGATCACAGATAACCCTAACATATACAATAACAATGAAAAGGTTAAATAGTGCAAGAATTACCTAAATGTAACACAGAGACAGGAAGCTAGCTCATGGTGTTGTAAAAATGGACCAACAGGCTTGCTAGCTTCAGGAGGCCACAAACCTTCAATGTGTAAAAAGTGCAGTATCAGCGAAGCATAATAAAAGCAATGTGCAATCAAAGGAGAAGGCATGCCTCTATTTACTTTCTCTTCTCTGCACTGTGTTGCTGTCATCAGTCCAAGTATCACCTGGACCTTGTGCAAGATATTTCTTTCTCCAAGACATTTAAAAAATATACCTCTGCAGTAGATATTGTTGTTGTCTCATCCAGTTTGCTTTCACTAGGCTTATGCACTCATCCCTTTGGCCCAGTGAGAGCTAGTGTGCCTGGATATAACACCCACCTCTACCTCCACTCACTTTAATGGGCATTAGCTGTGATTCGACAATACGAGAGTACAAAGAACTGGTCCCTTGTGTCAAAGAACAACCAACTAGGTTTAATATGTACTCCTGAGTGCCCAGGTCAGGCTGAAGTGAGGCTCCAACCAAGACCACATCCTTGTTCATCCTTTCCTGCCCTATCCTACTTCACACACTCTGCCTCCTAAATACTATAAATCACTTTCATGAGAATCCTTGTCTTAGGGTTTGATTTTAGGCAATCCTTCTTGACACACTCTCTTAGGTTTTTATCTTTAGATATGAAAGTCTGTAGGTGTTTACATGTCAAAATTGTTTGAGTAGTAGCTATTCCTTTAAGAATTCTCTCTGACTTTACAAGAATTTAAAATGCTTGTTACATTTGAAAGGGTGATTATGTGAATACTTAAGAAGGAAAATTCCAGGAATTATATTTGTCATGCAGCTAGAAGCCTTGTTGAGTTCTTACTACTGCTACATAGGCAGGCGTGAAAGTCTGGCTTTTGGATACTTAGAAAGAGACTCTTTACAGAAACCCCCTAACTTTTCCTTAGCTTGTTGTTGCAGTTTGAATTAAGACAAGTTATATAATTATCTTGAAAACCAAATAAAATTAATTATCAAAGGGCACAAAAGACAGACAAATCCTTAAAAGAAAGACAGTGCAATTCTATTTACTGATATTTTAATAAACTAAAGCATAAATAATTCTTCAACAGCTCATTTTTTTTCCTTTTTTAATAGAAAAAACATTTAGACACAGTTACGTATTTTTTTTTCTGATTTGTTAACTCATTTTCAGAGTGCTATTTGATCCTTTTAGAGGTTTTTGTTAAATTCGAGTGTCACATTAATTATCCTCAGCTCTTTCCTACTTTGTGCAATAGGTAGTGGTGACATTCATCGTATCCACAACCATGCAGCGTGACCACTGACCCGTCACAGCAGCCATGAGCAGTGAACAGCCAGTACCCCTGTTCTGCTGAAAACCAGCTGTCCTATTCATTAATACGTATATATTTATCTATTTTATTTACTCGTAATCTTACTTTAAAATCATTAGAGAACATTCTATTTAAGGTAACACTAAAGAAAATTTCTTTTTGAGGCAAATATGTCATTTTTTAAAAGGGAAAAGAGTAACATTAATCCTTTACATAAATCCCAATTGTATTGTATCAGGTTTGTTTAAGGAAGGAAATCTTTTATTAATTTATACAAGTATGTAATATAAGTAATGAACCAGGGAATACAATTTAAATCATATCTATGATCTTGAGTTGGCCTTAATTTTCCTTTACTTGCCAATATGTAAATCTTCAGGAGGAGACTATATGTATGATTTAGACTTGGAAACAATATTCAAGTACAAATTAGATATTTTATCAGTCTCACCATGATATATTCTCTGTCTCCATAAACCCCTTGGTCACCCAAGCATGACACTTGGAAATGAATTTTCACTTTATCTTCTCTTTCTTTGTCATCTTTACCTCATACTATATTATTTGTAACTAAGTTCAGCTGATTCTAATATCTAAACATTTCCCTGACCTTTATTTATTTGTCTAAAATATAAATGTGAGTATGCTACTGATTTTCTTAAGACACATGAAGGGCTCCATTCATTCAGGATTTGTTAAAGATCAGACTCCTTGTGTGGCTATAAGACCCTTCACGGTTCAGTCTCTGCCATACGCCTATGTTTGTGCTCTGTTCCAGGTTAACAGCCTTTTTGTTCATGAGGACTGGCATGCTTTCTCATTCCTCTTGACTTCAGCTCCTTGAGTTGCATCTTGCTGCAATTTCTTTCTTTTATTTCTACACCAAGACAGGCACTGCCTATCAATCATGACACCATTTAAAGGTTAAGTCTTGAGTGAGTTCTCTGTCTCATCTCTGGGCAGAGTTAGGGGTTTCTTTATGTTTTCTTTGCACATTGTGAATACATCTCTTGTAGCACAGGATTGTGAGTTCCTTTAGGATCTAGTCTGTGTTCTCCTTATCTTTTATTACCAGCATCTAGCCTAGCCAATTGCTTATCACACAGCACTCAATAAATTGTGACTTTTGAGTGCGTGAATAATTATATGTTTATAGTCTACTTTATTAGTAGTAGTATTTTTTAGATGGAGTCTCGCTCTGTCACCCAGGCTGGAGTGCAGTGGCACAATCTCGGCTCATTGCAACCTCTGCCTCCCGGGTTCAAGTGATTGTCCTGCCTGAGCCTCCTGAGTAGCTGGAATTATAGGCATGTGCCACCACGCCCGGCTATTTTTTGTATTTTTCGTAGAGTTTCAGCATGTTGGCCAGGTTGGTCTCGAACTCCTGACTTTGTGATCCACCCACCTCGGCCTCCCAAAGTGCTGGGATTACAGGTGTGAGCCACCATGCCCGGCCTAGTCTACTTTAAATTACTAAATTGTTTCACTGACTCTAATTTTTTTTTAACACTTTGAAAAATAGACTTCTCAGTCACCTGTAATTTACTATAGGTTCTTACAATATAAGACATGGTAAGTATTAAATAATCAATAAATATTTTTGGAATAAATGAATGATTTAATTGATGCAGTTCTGAAACCCCACAAGCAAGGAAAGTCTGTTAGATTTCCTTTTTGTAACTATCTCATTGTATCATAACTTTTAAGAATCTTACACAATTTTTGCAAAAATCATGTTTTACTGATTTCATTACTATTTCTTTTGAATGTTAAATATACTATTATAATGACAAAATCTGAACCTATTCCCTGCTCTTTTTAAGTTTGTACCTCTTTAAAATAATAGCTTTAAAGTCAGAATATAACATTTTTTCGATGTCATTTTTTCATGCATTATTGTGTTCATAGTAAAATTGTGAAGTACAGAAATTTCCCATATGCCCCTTGCTCCCATACATGCATAACTTCTTCCATTATCAACATCCCTCACTAAAGTGGTATGTTTGAGGATACAACATTCTTTATCTCAACTTGAAGTAATCATAAGTATTGTCACAATAATTATTGCAATGTATATGTTTATTTAGATAAATGTCCTCTAAATAGGCAAACTATGCACAGTATTACCAAATACCACTAATAATAGCATTGAGTAATACCCTGTCCAAAAGAAAAAGACAAAGAAGAAGATATAACAGTTTATGTTCAAGAGACTCTTTGCTGAAGACAATGTCATGACAACATTTGGTGTTTCTTTCATATGTTAACATTTATCTGTTATTTGCAATGTTCTTGGACAGATACCATGGTGGTTTTAAAGATAAGGGTTTAATCCCTGACTTAAGAGTTACCAATCCTTTAGGAAAATTTGGATAGGATGGTAACTATAATGAAAGCCTATGTGTCATAAATGTATTAGTGGTCAAGGACAATGGGCATTGGGAGGAAATAAATCAATTCTGGTTATAGAAAAATCACAGAGCCAATGAAATATGATCGTATCTTAAAAATGAATAGGATTTCAACATCAGGAAATGAACAAGTTTTCATAACTGAAAGTCTATCAGGAGGGAGAGTAGAGGAGGGAAATCACTTATGCTAGTGTATAAGGGTTCTTGTCTCCATTATCCCCAAATCACCACCCAGACTAGGTACATCTTCCTCCGTTTCTGACTGTCATCCTCTAAGAGAAGTTCTATTTTTTTCCAGACTAAGTGCTGAAGGACATCAGACAAGGAAAAGTTCTTACCATTATGTAGTTTTGTTTACACAAAGAAGCTACATAGTATGAAGATGAGAAACAGTGAGGAGTGGAGAGAGAGAAAGGCATGCTTCCTGAGCTAAAGCAGAGAGGGTTGTTGGGGATTTGGTTTGCAGGGAACTCCGGAGCAGTGATGAGCACAGGAGAACTGGGCATTAGTAGAAGAAGTTGAGATGAGTTTCCACGGGTTAGAAATGAGATTTCCTTTAATGTCCCTAAACACAGGAAAGCAGAGTGGATTTCCATGACCAAATTTTGGCTGCTGGAGTGAGTTTCCATAGATATGACTTGAGAGGCTTTTGTATGAGGACCTGACTTTTATTAGGTTTATTATCATAGACCTTATCTCAAAGATCTATAGAGAACTCAAACAAATATACTATTATAATGGCAAAATATATTATATAGAGGCACTTGGTATGTTTTAGGTGAGGATAGGTGGTTACATTTCATTGGGATGATGGGATTACGAAAATGAAAAGTGAAAATCATGCCTGGAAAAATAGTGTGTTTCATGGGTGCATGTTTGGAGGAGGGGATGGTCGGCTTGTGATTGCCTTGAGGGTCATGTTATTGAGGTGAGTTTCACTGCGGTGGCAAGTAAAAGACATTAAACAGCTTTGTTCAGACAGCAAGGTGACCATTGTTATTCCTAGGAACCTTTTATTTGGCAGTTATGTGTACATGAGGTACAGGAGAGACACTGAAGGTAAGAAAGCTAATTACTTCAGGAGGCTATTGAAATATTCTTGTGAAGGAGTGTCCAAAACTTTTTGATTGTGCATCTCTCATGAGAGAAATTTGAAGCACACTAGGCACGGTGGCTTGTGCCTGTAATCCCAGCACTTTGGGAGGACGAGGCAGGAGGATCACTTGAGGCCAGAAGTTCAAGACCAGCCTGGGTTACATAGTTGGACCTTGTCTCTACAAGAATTTAAATGATTAGGTGGGTATAGTGGCATGTGCCTGCAGTCCCAGCTAGTTGGGAGGCTGAGGCAGGAGAATCACTTGAGCCCAGGAGTTTGAGGCTACAGTGAGCTATGGTGACCCCACTGCATTCCAATCTTATTGAGACAGCAAGACCTTTTTCTAGAAAAAGAAAAAGAAAAAACACACCAATTTGGAACACACACTACTGCACTACGATATTGGGTTGTTTGTTTATAATATCTATCTATCTATCTATCTATCTATCTATCTATCTATCTATCTATCTATCTAATCTATCACCTATCTATCTATCTATCTAATCTATCATCTATCCATCTATCTAATCTATCATCTATCTATCTATCTATCTATCTATCTATTATCTATCTATCTATCTGTCTATCATCTATCTATCTTATAGATATTATAAAACATTTGGCCAGTCATGGTGGCTCACCCCTGTAATCCCAGCACTTTGGGAAGCCAAGGCAGGCAGATCACCTGAGTTCAGGAGTTTGAGACCAGCCGGGCCAACATGGCAAAACCCCATCTCTACTAAAAAAAGAAAATATATATATACAAAAATTAGCTGGACGTGGTGGCATGCGACTGTAATCCCAGCTACCCAGGAGACTGAGACAGGAGAAACACTAGAACCCAGGAGGCAGAGTCTGCAGTGAGCCAAGATCTCACCACTGCACTCCAGCCTGGGTGACAGAGCAAGACTCCTTAAAAAAAAAAAAAAAATGGAAATAATACAAATGCCCTAATTTATTGACATATTACCCTTTTTAGTATATTCTGACCATTTTGAAAACTGCCCATCTAGAGAGAAGATGACAAGGATCTTACTACAATTGTGGAGGTAAAAATAGCCAGAGTTGGGGACAACTGTAAAGGTTGTCATATTTGACCAATGATTTGGGCATAAAGGAGAGAGAGGTGGAGTAATGACTCCCAATGACTCCCACATTTCAGGCTTGTTATAAAGGTAGAATAGTACTTTAAGTAACAGAAATGTGTTGTTGGTGTAAGAATATTGTTTTGAGGGGAATATAATAAAGCTGGTCTTGGCAACGTTAATTCAGATTTCTAGTGAATAGTTAGGCAGAACAATCTGGCAGAAAATTGGAATTTCAGCATTGGAACCTAGGAGTGACATTGTGTGGTTGGAGATTCAATCTGTACATCCTCACATTAGATGTAATATATATAGCTGAAGTAAAGAGTTTAAATAAAGAAAAATATCTGAGAAAAGAGGACGAATCTCTGAAATCTGTTTCCACTCTTGAAGCAGGTTTAGCTTTAGGGCAGTAGGTAAGCAGAAAAGAAATGGTGTAAAGAAACAATGGAGACAGACACCAAGAGAAGATAGATTTTTTTTTTTTTTTTGGAGACAGAGTCTCACTCTGTTGCCCAGGCTGGATCTCATCTCACTGCAACCTCTGTCTCCTGGGTTCAAGCGATTCTCCTGCCTCAGCCTCCTGAGTAGCTGGGATTACAGGCACGTGCCACCATGCCAGGCTAATTTTTGTATTTTTAGTAGAGACGAGGTTTCACCATGTTGGTCAAGCTGGTCTGGAACTCCTGACCTTGTGATCCGCCCGCCTCGGTGGCCCAAGGTGTTGGGATTACAGGCGTGAGCCACTGTGCCCAGATGAGAAGATAAATCTTTAATAAAGTCTAGTGTGTTCAGTAATATCAATGGTTGCAGGGAAACTTAGGAACAAAAACCGAGAAGTCTATTGAACTAGCAATTAAAAGCCAACTTCTTTGGTGTGATTAAAAAGCTACCATCTTTTGTAAATCTTAGAGAATAGATATGTCAAAAGTCTAAAGATGGCACTGACTTAATTTTCAGAAAAGAAAAAAAATTCTATTAAATGTAGACTTCAATAAGACATATTTCTAGAAAACAGCTTTATTTTAAAGTTAATACTTTTAAATGTCAACTTTAATTAGGAGACAATATTTAAGTATCTTAAAAAATGTAAGTAAAAACTAAAGCCAGAGGCATGTCATTCTAACAAAACTTTTTACTCTCATTGTTCTTTTATTTAAATATACATTTTGTCATAATTAAACAATTTTGCTAAACTAATACAAAATGCACTTACAAATTTACATATTTATTAACATTGTACATGATTTTGTATTTTTTATTAATAATTTTATGTTTTAATAGTCATAATTATTATTTTAATGGATGTATGATACTTCATCTCAAGACATACTACAATTTCTTTTGGTTTTTGTGTGATTTTCTACATATAAGAGTGAAGGACCATCAGTCAAGAGGGACTGCAGAAGGGAAATAAGATTTTTTCTTAGTTTCTTTGAATACAATGAGACTTGGTTTTTACCTCACATTTACAGTATTTATTTTCTCTGTTGGGAATTATTTTCTGCTTGCACTGGATGAAATAACATTTTGCCCTGAAGTCCATGATTTATTCCTATACTTGATTAAAATAGTGCATTTAGAACTTTATAATCATATACTGACATTTCGTTTAAAAACAAGATGCATCTGAAAAACAAATTTTAACACATTTGAAGATGTTTTTTCATCTAACTTATGTTTTTGCACATGTAGAAAATTACTTCATGTTAGTGTTCTTTATGCTGTTTGATTTTGAGATGGACATCAAATAATGTGCCTAGAAACAAAATTTTGTAGATTCTTAAAATTGTGATGGAACTTTTAAAGCCATTCAGTTTTTCTGACTTAGAAATCAGTCATTTGAGAATCTAGTACCAACAGAAATCAACAGAGGAGAGTGTCTCCACTGAAGTATTGACAAATCTCCATTCAAGATATTGGTAAAAGTATATAATATTTTTGAATTAAAATTTTTAGCTTGTAATAATTTTGATTGGTATATCAAATTGACCACACCGATGGAGAAAATCATCAAACTACTCATATAGGATATAGTCATTTCAGATCGTGTAATAATTATAGCCATCTCTCTATATACTTGGGGATTGGTCCAAGACCTTCACATATGCCAAAACCAACACATATTCAAGTCCCAAAGTCAGTCCTGTGGAACCTATGTAAATATAAAGTCAGCCCTCCTTATATGGGTTTCACATACATAGATCCAGTACATACATTTTTGATCCACTTTGGTTGAAAAAAAAATCCTCCTAAAAGTGGATTCATGCAGTTCAAACCTATGTTGTTCAAGGATCAGCTGCACTTTATCCTCAGGAAATGGACAAAAATCTTCTTTGTTATAGCTAGAACCCATTTCCTCTTTTTTGATCTTCAGAAAGTAACTTTCCCAGTTTATTGGTGTGTATTATATGTAACAGAACTACCACATTTACTCTAGTAAAGCGGAGATCACATCTACAACTTGTCTTCGGTCCATCACCTCTGTCCTTTAGTTATAGAGGCAGAATAATCGGATAGTATGATATTGAGTAAGCATTGTGTGTGTATGCATGTGTGTCTTTATGCATACATAAACCAGTTAAATATAGGTATCATAGAAAGCAATGAATCTATAGTTTCTGTCTTCAAAGGACTTACAAGTTCATTTGGCGATAAGATACCTAGACATAAAGAACTACTTGGTACAAACTACACAATCAGGTACAAACCATGTAAATGCTTGAGGTATTAAGTAGTACAAGGTGGCTTGGAGATCAAGGGAAGGCTTTGCAGAAGTGAGTGTGGTGATAGGTCTGGAAAGGATCTTATTATGTACACATAAACATACAGAAAACAGGAGCAGAGGGAGATAAAGAAAACGGAAGAGAGAAGTATCTCCTGCCTCTCACCTGGGTGAATAGGCTGGCGATCAGCATTATTATATATCTACCATGTTCCAGACTCTATGTTTCATGCTTTGTAGATTTTTCTTGATTAAGCATGAAGAAAATAAGATTAAGCATGAGGCAAATAAGACGTTAATTTTTTTTTTTTTGAGACAGGGTCTCCTCTGTTGCCCTGAGTAGCTGAGACTATAAGCACCTGCCACCACACCTGGCAATTTTTTTTTTTTGTATTTTTTGTAGGGGCTGGGTTTCACCATGGGGTCCAGGCTGGTATTGAACTCCTGGGCTGAAGTGATCCTCCCAGCTTGGCCTTCCAAAGTGGTGAATGTGTATTTAATAAATTATGCTGATGTTTTCCCACTCATAGAGACTTAGTTGTCTTTGTTTTTCAAGTAGCTTGCAGATTGACTTTTCTTGTTATTTTTAGCACACACAAGTAGGATCATATGTTTAAAATTCTTCAACATTGCTTTGGGATTCAGGTTCTCTACAACTTAATAGTGATTCCGTGAAATGTCTAAATACTTTTCTCCAATTCCTGTTACATAAACATACTTTTATATAAATAAGTTTTGTAAAATAATCATGTCTGGAAATAATACATTAATAATGTTCCCCCTTTCACTGAGGAGAAATTGGAGACACAGGAAAGACGTCTAAACTACGCAGTGAAACAGTGGTAAAGTCTATACTAATACCCATAAACTGTCCAAAAATTCTATTTAAAAAAATGTTAAGTGCTTTTAGATTCATGGTTCTGATACGGGAGGCAGGGAAGTGCTGGGAGGAGAAAACTGGGGTCCCTAGCAAGGGTTCCACCCTCAGGCCTGTGCCCACAGTCCTAGGTGAGGACAGGCACTCCTGTTTTCATGCCAAATGTTGCATTTCCCAAGACCACCCTGGCCTGCCATGCCCCCATCCTGTGCCTATAAAAACCCCAAGACTCTAGCGGGCTGGACACAAGTGGCTGGACGTCGAGAGGAACACACCGGCAGAAGAACACACTGGTAGACAGCAGTAGACACCACAGGCCATCTATAGCGGCATGACGCTGAGTTCGCCCGAGGGCGGTGGGAGGAGAGCCTGGCAGCTGGGTGGCCCGACTCCAGGGGAAGACCACCTTCCTACTGGCCTCCCCATCCATCTGCTAAGAGCTACTTCCACCATTTAATAAAACCTTGCACTCATTCTCTAAGCCCATGTGTGAGCTGATTTTTCCAGTACACTAAGGCAGGAACCTGGATACAGAAAGCCATCTTTCTTTGCGATAAGGCAGAGGGTCTAATAGAGCTGATTAACACATGCCACCAGCAGATGGCAAAACTGAAAGAGCGCACTGTAACACACGCACACTGGGGCTTCGGAAGCTATAGACACTCAACCCTAGACACTGCTGCGGGGTTGGAGCCCATGCTCCCCATCATCTCCCCATATGCATGTTCTCCCTAGTGGTATGCGCAGTGGTGCACTGAAAAAGTGAGCCACGCCCTCATCGCAGGACCTGCAAGGGGTATAAGGGAATTTTTCCCATTTCAACTAGGGCTTATCTGGGATCCTGGAAAGTGAGTGTGAATGCACAACTGTCAGATCTGTCTCTTTTCCAAAACCCTGCCATCTCTCTCTCTTTCCTGCAAGTAACAGGCTCTATTTACCTTCACGGAGTTTTAAACTGCCTTGACCGGGCTAGTCAAAACACCCAGACTTCGTCTATTTTCTCTTTCTCATAGTTTGAAATAGCTCTTATCTCTTGTTTTATAATGTTAGGAGTTTTGCTACAGGCTGCAGCCATGTTACTAAGTAAAATGAGTGCAGCCATCAAAGGTGCAAATCAGACCAATTGCTCCTAGAGGTGCCATCTTCACTTCCACCCCAACAGCTGCAGACCCACGCAGCTCAAGACAGCTCCCCTTACCCTCTCCCCTCCCAGCTCGGGTGCCTGAGCACAGCCACAGGGGTTGGGGGGCATTAGAAAACCACGGCGGTGGCCAGGACCCCACAGGGCACGTCTCGTCCCCCGTGCCAACAGAGCATTTCTATCCTGGCCGAGGAATTCAACCGGGTCTGAACTGGGGAAGGATACAGGGATTAAAGCGACTCACTTGCACTGAACAAGGCGTTCTTCCCCCAGGACCTTCCCTTTTGCCCCTTATACTGTTTTTCTCTTTTTCCGTTTCGTGTGAGAGGACTGACCCCTCCCAGCACTCTGTTTCTGATAGGGAAGTTGATGGAGGAACAGCCCCTTCTGGCTGATAACTGCACATTTGGCAGGGCTCATTTGACACACTCTAAACAGGTACAAACAGCCTCTGAAATACCTTTTCAGTCCCAAACTCGATTCCAAGCTTCAGGCTGTGGCCCTAGAAAGAAAAACTCCATGGCATAAACAGGCCCAGGGAACTCAAAGGTTGTCCACAGCAGGAAAAAATGGAGGCATAGGTGATGGCGGTTAATTCCCATTCTCTAGGTTTTCCCTGCTTCGTGGGCAGATACCTCATGGGTATCTATGGCTAGCACCTGTCAAGGTCACCAGGACTCAGGGATAAGAGGTGGAAGGGAAGGGAGGATACCTGCTTTGCTTTCTCTCTTCATCACACCCTGTGTTTTTGCTGAAAGAAGGAAGGGAATGAAGTAAACCTCTATTTACTGTCTTTCAGAATGGTCAACTGGCTGTCTTCACCACCCCCAACTTATTCTTCTGGAGTGTATCCTGAACTATTGGGACTGTTTTGACCCTCAGAATCTGTAGGAAAAATGATTCATAGCTCTCTGAACAATGGTTTGGCCAAATTATGATTTACAGCAAGGACAGACTTGACCTCAGGAAGGAACCATTCATTTCAATATCATCCAGCACTTAGAACTTTTCTGTAGATGTGAGGACAGATGGTCCGAGGCCCCAAATGTGCAGGCTTTCTATACTTTGCAAGGCAATCCAGACCTTTGCTGATAGTGTAGAGTTGATCCAGCCCTCCTGCTTTCCATCTCAGGAAAGACTGCAAGGGGTAAGCCTGGGGAATTAAAGAGCTCTGGAGGCACTCCCAGCAGAGGAAGCAGGTCCCTCAAGCCCTGCTCCTCCGGGTCCACCTTGACCTCCCTATTCAGCTTCAGCATCTCACTCACCCCCTCCTAAAAATCCTCACCCTAAACAAGCCCCAGTTTCACTCTTGCCCCTTCAACAAATGCCCAGTGAATTTGGACCCAGTAAAAGCAAATTAAGGGGGATCTTGGCAAGTTTTGAGATGACCCTGATAGATATATAGCGGCTTTCCAGAATTTCACCCAAATATTTGAACTCTCCTGAAGAGACATTATGTTACTTTTGAATTAGAACCTGACAGACACTGAGAAACAGGCCACTCTGCAAGCAGCAGAGAGATTTGGTGATGAGCTTTGCACCACATATAGCGTCAGAGAAGGGAAAAAACAGTATCCATCTGGAAGAGAAGCAGTACCAGTGAATGACCCTAAATGGGATCCCAATGATGAGATGGGAGACTGGAAGAGGAGACACTTTCAAGTGTGCATAATGGAGGGCTTACGTAGGACTAAGACCAAGCTCTCAATTATACTAAGTTGTCTATGATTGACCAGGGATTTGATGAAAATCACACTGCCTTCCTGGAGAGGCTAAGAGAGGCCTTGGTAATGCACACCTCTCTATCTCCTGATTGAGTCCAGGGAAAGCTAACCCTATAGGATAAATTTATTACTCAGGCAGCTCCTGACATCAGGAGGAAGCTACAAAAACAGGCCCCAGGACCAGATAGTACATTAGAAGACCTCCTGAAAGCGGCCACCTCAGTCTTTTACAGTAGAGAAAGGGAAACACAAGAAAGAGGCAAAAGCTTGAATGGCCACTGTGCAAGGCCAAAAACCCCAGAATTCTCAGTGTACACCTGTTAACGGCTACAGATGTGGCAAGAACAGTTATCTTTCTTCTAAAGTTTAACCGCTTCCATACAAAGTTTAATTTCTTTTTTTTTTTTTTTGAGACGGAGTCTCGCTCTGTGGCCCAGGCTGGAGTGCAGTGGCCCGATCTCGGCTCACTGCAAGCCCCACCTCCCGGGTTCACGCCATTCTCCTGCCTCAGCCTCCCGAGTAGCTGGGACTACAGGCACCTGCCACGACGCCCGGCTAATTTTTTGTATTTTTAGTAGAGATGGGGTTTCACCATGTTAGCGAGGATGGTCTCGATCTCCTGACCTTGTGATCCACCCGCCTTGGCCTCCCAAAGTGCTGAGATTACAGACATGTGCCACTGCGCCCAGCCACAAGGTTTAATTTTTTTCACCAGAAACAGCTCTGGGTACAATGTTGTTGTTAGTATATTTCACTTCTTATCTCTGTAATCTTTGGCACTAAATTCTTTCCTTGTATAATACACATGTTTAAACCATGCATACTTAACTTTATAAAACTTTTTTTTTTCTCTCATGCCTAGAAGCCATCAAACTCCAAATGGTCAGGCAACCAGAGCCTCAGGTGATGGCTCCCCTTTGCAAGGAACCGTTAGATTAACCTCTGGGAGGAATCTGACTGCCATTTTACCCAAAACAATGGCCCTGTCAGCAGGAAGCAGCTAAGACCGATCATCATCCATATTTTAATGGCAGTTAGATGTACTTCTTCAGAGGAGGAAAATGATAAGGGAGAGGGGCTGGGAAGTGCTGGGAGAAGGGCAGGGTTCTTGGTGAGGGCTCCATCCTCGGGCCTGTGCCCATAGTCCTAGTTGAGGACAGGCACTCCTGTTTTTGCACCCAAATGTTGCATTTGCCGAGATGACCCTGGCCTGCTATGCCCCCATCCTGTGCCTATAAAAACTCCGAGACCTTAGCAGGCACAGACACAAGTGACCGGACGTTGAGAGGAACACATCAGCAGAAGAACACACCGAAAAACATGAGCAGATGCTGGCATGCCATCTACAATGACACGATGTGGAGTTTGGCCAAGTGTGGTTGGAGGATAGCCCGGCCACTGGGTGGCCCGACCCTAGGGGAAGACCACCTTCCCACTCCATTCCCCTTCTGGCCTCCCATCCATCTGCTGAGAGCCACTTCCACCATTCAATAAAACCGTGCACTCATTCTCTAGGTCCACATGTGATCTGATTTTTCCGGTACACTAAGGCAAGTACCGGGGATACAGAAAGCCCTCTGTCCTTGCAATAAGGCTGAGGGTCTAATAGAGCTGATTAACACACGCCACCTGCAGACAGCAAAGCTGAAAGAGTGCACTATAGCACACGCACGCTGGGGCTTTGGGAGCTGCGAGCACTCAACCCTAGACACTGCTGTGGGGTCAGCGCTCCCTATGAGCTGCCTGTTTGCATGCTCCGCCTAGGGGTATTAGCAGTGAGGCACCAAAGAAGTGAGCCACACCTCATCACACGCCTTGTGATGGGGATTAGGGAACTTTTCCTGTTTCAGTTCCTGTGTTATATTGTTATTTTCAGGGGCAAAGGACTTCTGACTCTTAGTTAGTACCGTGCTTCATGAGCCTTCTGAAGTATGTTGAATGCAAGGCTAGTTAATCATATGACTTTCTAACACGCCCATACTGTCCCTGATTGTTGAAGCACACACAGTGAAATAGGAACAGACTCCAGTTGCCATTGAGGTACTGAAACTAGCTAACCCACATTTAATCAACAAAAGAGTTGTGCAAAAAAGAAACTCTTTTTTAGTTGTTTGTTTCTAACAGTAGATGATACTAAAAAGAGGTATAGACAACAAAAGGAATCATATGAGAAATACACAGAATGAGATAATTGGGCAAAATTTCATGACGTTTCCTAAAAATGTAGACGTTGTTCATTTTGTAGGCTGAAGGAAAAATGAAGTAATGGTGGAGATTGTCTTTGAGTATTTTTGCATTAATTTCATTGAACATGATGACTAATCTCTGTTAGAATTTCTTTTTTGCTGTTTTATAGCTAAGAGAGAAAGCACTTCTTTCTCTCTTTTTTTTTAAGCGTGATATAATGTCTCTGCCATTGGGTTGAATATGTCTGTATAATCTACCCCTATTGTCTATAAAATTCCCTGGATAGTAGTTGACAGTCAATTGTTCAACAATGAGTGATCTATCCTGGAACCTGCATAATTAGATTTCATTTTGCTTAGTATATATTAGGTTGGTGCAAAAGTAATTGCAGTTTTTGCCATTACTTTTAATGTGAAAAACTCAATAACTTTTGCAACAACCTGATATATAGTTTTCACTTGGTCATTTAGACAAGCTACATTAAATATTGCTTTTTGTTTCAGAAGTCTTTGCTTTTCAGTCTAGTAATAAGTTTCTTTCACATTAGCTTTCAAAAAATGAATCTTCATTTCTGTTCTAAACTTTAAGTTGTAATTTCAATGACTTCACTATCTGTAATGTTCTCTGTCATTATTGCTAAGTAAATCACAAGAACCTTGTTTCCAAAATAATAATTTTGAGAAACAATTTGAGAGTTTATACAGAAATTTTCTAAGGTTTGGTAATAGAAAAAAAATTTACAGCTCCTGGAAGGATTTCTATTTACACAGTTTCCAGATAGGGAACTAGTAACTTGCTGATGTTTTAATAAAGAAAAATCTTGAATGCCAAACATTGATCAATGTTCTCTTTATTTTGCTTGTACTGAAATGAGGACATTTATTTAAAAATCAGTCTGAACAAGCAGCTGTCTATTATTGTGTCCTGTGTAATCTCACATATGTGATTAAATACAAAACCCATGTATTTATTTGTTCTTTTGGAAACCTATTTATTTTTGCTTCTGAGGCCCCTAAAAAGAATAGGTAAACTTTTTTTATGTTTAATTCATATTTCGTATCCAAAGTATTAACATATTAAAATGCAAACCATCTCAACAAAATTTTTATCTTTTCCTTGTAGTTAATACTTATTCTGGAAGTTACAGGTCTGAGAGAGAGAGAATTATGGAAAAAATGTATTTAAATAGAACGTGTTATGCTGCCAAAGTCTTAAATCAATCATGACAACACTGTTCACAGTGACTTGTTTCTTTATTACCCCAAGGCTTATTGGTTGATTTTTGACCATTCTAGCACCTTTCCATATGAACACATTTCCATTTGATTTCTACTGTTAAATGTCTATTTAGACTGCAGTTATTGTGATTTTATAAGATGATTTCCTGGATGATTTCTTCATTTTCTTGACATAATAGGTACCACATTCAGCTATTTTACTTTTCTCTGTAGCTTCCTTGTGGGTCCTTGGAGACAGGGGTGGTAAAGAGAATTTCCCACTTTTGAGGTCTTACTTTTCATGGTTAGTGTAATTCTATTTTCTCAAGCAACAGTTTCACTGAAAGTGACATGTTTCTTCTTGGTTCTTTGTTATTTGTGTCTTTTCAAATTCCCAGGAAGTGTGATTTCTAAAGCATGGTCACCAAGTAGGTTACTATTGTTCCTAAAGTGGAAATTACATTAGTGTAGGAGAAAGTCAGACTTTTCTTGTAGTTCCTACCTCTTAATTCACTTTGATTCAAAAAAAGCATTTAGCAGATATGTAGTCCCAGGTCTTCAAAATCCAGAGATGAGCAAGATCACCTCAGTGTCAAAGCCATAGCCCTTGGTCAGCAGAAGACAAATTAGAGGCTGATGACTGGCTTTCTAATTCACAATCACTGAAGCATCTCCACACTGACCGTAACCCTCTAGAAAAATTAGTTGGTATATATTTTGCTTAATTATCAAAAACGTATATGTGTAATTAATTTTTTTTAGGTTTTTGATTGGATGAATGAAAAGAGATAAAGCCAAAATGTTATTCTATCCTTTAGGATAATCTGCTAGTAATATCCTTAACTTTTATATATGATTTGGTTTTGAGGACTTGAACATAGTAGGTTTGCAAAGTTATTTCTTTCTTTTGTTCATAAATGGAATAAAAATCTAAGAAATCTGTGAATGAGTATGACCAAAAGATTTTTCTATTTTAAAAGATAAAATCATGACAATGTAGAGAAAGAATAACACAGTTTAAAAAAAAGACCAGTGAAAATGGAATGTAATTACGTGTTATGTTGTGAATTGTTATTCCTGATACATGAATTGTGCACACGAATTCAAACTGAAGGTCCAGCTTGTGAAGGTCTTGACCTAATAACATCAAAAGCTATATGTCAGTTACATTCTTCCTTTCTGCTCCATTCGTTCTTGTTTACTATTCTCTGTAGATTTGTTTTTAAATGTATTTCACATGTTTCTGAATAAGAGAATGTAATCTAGTGATGGTTAATTTTGTATGTCAGCTTAACTGGGCCATGGGATTCCCAGATATTGGGTTAAACATCATGCTGAGTGTGCCTGTGAGAGTGTTTTAGGATGAGACCAACATCTGAATTAGCAGGACAAGGAAAGCAGACTGCCCTCCCCATGAAACTGGGGTGGGCTTCATCCAGTCAATGCCTGAATAGAGCAAAAAGGCTGACGCTGCCAGGTAAGAGAAATTTCCTCTCCTCTGACTGCCTTTGAGCTAAGGCTTTGATCTTTTACTGCTTTCAGACTTGGACTGGAACTTACTTCACCAGATCTCATGGTTCTTGGGCCTTCAGACTCAGGTTGGAACTATGCTATCAGCTTTCCTGGATCTCCAGCTTGCTGACTACACAATCTAGGACTTCTCAGCCTTTGTAATTGTGTAAGCCAATTTTGTATAACAAATCTCTATCCATTTATCTAGAAACAATAAATATATATCTAATAGATATGAAGTCTTGTGCTTCATAATGACATCTCAATGAGGGACTGCATATACAATGGTGGTCTTGTAAGATTATAAAGGAGCTGAAAAATTCCTATCACCTAGTGACATCATACCTGTCATCATAGTGCAATTACTTTATTTAAAAAATAAGTTTAGTATAGCCTGAGTGTAAAGTGTTCATAAAGTCTACAGTAGTATAAAGTAATGTCCTAGGCCTTTACATTCACTCACCACTCACTCACTGACTTTCAGTCCTGCAAGCTACATTCATGGTAGGTGCCCTATACAGGTGTACTTAAAAAAAATCTTTTGTACCATATTTTATTGCACTTTTCCTTTGTTTAGATATACAAATATTTACCATTATGTTAGAATTGACTACAGTATCCAGTACAGTAACATGCTGCTCAGGTTTGTGGCCTAGGGACAATAGGCTATACCATATGGTCAAAGGGTGTAGTAGGCTGCACTGTCTAGGTTTGTGTGTGTGCACTCTATGATGTTTGCACAATGACAAAATTGCCTAATGATGCATTTCTCAGAATGTATCTTCATTAAGTGATACATTACTCTATATCTATCTAGATAAAGATATTTATGAAATATATATTCTATTATAAATATACAGATATATTGTTTAAAGAACTATTGGTTCTTTCTCTGGAGAACCCAGACTAATATATAATTATTTTCTTTAGAATCTGTTCAGAATCAGTTTAGTCAATGTTCAGCTTGGGTAAATCCAAATTCAAACTCTTCCCTCTCCCTACATCTATTATTATTCCCTTCATCTCCAGGTTTCCCTCAGCATAAAACAGTCAAATGTCAAGAGAAGGGTTAAACATGTACAACATCTTCATGGGCAGTCACACCCTTCATCTATATTCCAACGTATTTTCAATTATCACTGTAACATTGCTGTTAACATTAAGAGTATAGACAGGTAAATGTATTTTTCCCTTTTCTTTCTCTAAATTTGTCATTTAAGATGAATATATAAACATCTTCATAAGATAGATATGTTATTTATCTTCCACAGATAATGAGGATCAACTGTATATTGTGAATTTACCTACTCACTGAAATTTATCTGGAACCCTAAAATCAATGCTTGGTTATTTGCAGACATGCACATATATGTAAAGAGTGGCCAAAAATTTGAGTCACCCAAAGCACTTGTTTCCAGCTGAAGGTGAACAAAGAGACACTTCGCCTTCCTGTTTCTGTTCCCCTATGGTAAACAAGTGGGTGTTTTGGTAGTTTATTTAATGTGTGTGTGTGTGTGTGGTTTTTTTCTTTTTTTTGTATTTTTTCATCATTTTGTTGTTTAATAGTCCCCAAGCATAGTTCTGAAGTGCTCTCTAGTGTTTCTAAGTGCAAAAGACTGGGACATGCCTTATGGAGAATGTAGGTATGCTAGGTAAATTTCATTCAGGCATTAATTATAGTGCTGTTGGCCATAAGTTCAATGTTACTGAATCAACAATATATACTGAATGTGATTTTAAACAGAAATATACATAAAGCAAAATTCTATATTGGTCAGTTGATAAAAATGTGAGCACAGGCTCACAGGAACCTAACTCTGCATTTCCCATAGAAACAATGGTTCAGTATTCATTAATTCAGTGTTTGTGGTGATTTTATATAACCATAACATACACAGTTACCATGATTAACAAGAATCAACTGTATGTGGTATGAATAAGAAGAGAGAGTGTTAATTTTTCTCCAGGCTCTTGTTGCATGTTCTTAGGTTTGTTTTCTTGATTTAACTTCTAGGTTACAGTTTTCCATCTGTTTAATAAGAATGATAATTCCAGAGCCACAGTCTGGAAGTGTTGTTTTCAAGATTGAATAAAGTAATATGTATAACATTGCTTTGTAAACTGAAATGATGCAACAGGAGCAGAAAACGTTATTTATTTAAAGGAAAGAAAATATGCTAGAGATTTTATAATTACTAATGTTTACCACCGTTTAGTAAGAGTATTCAGTTCTTTCTTGATTTAATAAGATGACAAATCACATGTTAAGCTGTTAAACAGTTTACATCTGAAATTCAAAGTTTATTTTAAGTAGGAGCATTGTCTCTTATTTTATCTATGTCTCCCAACTTGTTAAAATATATTACATTGCATAGGAGCAAAACTGAATATCAAAGAATACTGTGGGCTTGCATGTATTTGTGTCTTTTGTTTTCCCTGGGGTAGCTCTGCTTAATTTACTAACACATAAATCTCTCCTGCTCTTAGTGCTGGAAAGTCAATTTAGCTGAGGAAGAATGAAGCTGAATTCGGTTCTGCCTCATGCATCACCAACAAATTGCTAGGCCAGTTAAGTTTTGATTGCAGAATATTTATTTTTGGTGACAAATGTTGCTGATGTAAGAACCTACATGATCACAGCTTGAATTAGCCTGGGTTGAGGTTGAAAAAAATTGAAATGGAAAGTGTTAATGGAAGTAAATATGCAACATCAGGATGACATTTTTAGTATTATATTTCTGATGATATTTTTGTGGTAAATAGGGTGTGACTACATTTGCATGCAGGCAATGAATTTTGGCAGAAAGATGGACATAGCCTTTTATGAAATCACATTCTTAAGGTGACAGTTTGGTTATGGAACCTAAGAGAGTTAAATTTGCTACATTCTAAGTACCTGTTTGGATCAAAGCAGGTTCCAGAGTAGAGACTAGTGACTAGAAATCATGTAATTTCGGAGAAGGTTACCAACACCTGTGTTATGTCTATCAAATCTCATATCATATCATATTATAATAGTTTTCTTTACCTTTCTTTTCTAGTGGTCCAGAAATGACTATGAACGTCTTTGCATGTAATAGATTTTCAGTGACTGTTAGATGAAAATTAGCTGCGTAGGACATAATTCCCACATCTCCACACTGAATGCACACAGACTTTCACATGAGAGGAAAAGAATCATTGGGACTCTTGTCTCCTTGGCAAGATCATGCATAGTTTTATGCATAAAGTTTTTTGTGGCCCCCACATGAATCACTAATGGTGACATGTCTGGGAGGTGTCACAGGGAGGCCACTGAGAAGGCCATGGCAGTAATTCTTTCACTACAACCCACCTTTCCTCTTTGAAAACAGCCAAAATCTCCCTACCCAATGGGTCTTTCATTCTTGCTGTGAAGTTGTTGAACATATAAAAAAATCATTAGAAATCCTGATTTTTACTCATTGAGAGTAAAAGAAGATAAGAAAAGGAATGATTCCTATTGATGCAGGATGTTTTCTTGACCCCTTTGTGGAACTCACAGCAGTGATGCCCCATTTACTCAGCTGCCCTGCTCAACCCCTCGTGGGAGGCAGCGTGCAGGTGAACCAATATGGGAAGCAGAGCGAATGAGTGAAAGAACTGGCCCACTGCTTCAGTGCTGGCAGGATCAAACTCTATACAGGCCCCGCAGCATCATCCGGGTGGGGGTGCCTGGTGACCCCAAGGCCCCAGAGGGCATGTTACAATGTTCCCTTAGCTCCGCTGCCCATGGACAGCAGTGTGTTATCAGCTCAGTGGGCCCTTTTCTCATCACATGGGGAGGCTGCCCTCTGCCAGCAAGGGCAAAGGGCCACTGTGACAGCCTTATTGCGTACTTGCGCTTGGTGCATCTTGAATTCTTGTCTGGTGCCCAAGAGGAATGAGGTCATGCAGATAAATTGAAGGATGGTGAATGAGGATAATTTTATTGAGTGATGAAAGTGGCTCTCAGCGGAGAGGGGAGCTGGAAAGGAGATAGGAAGGGCAGGTCACGCTCTCCTGAAGTCAAGCCTCCTCTCTGCCTCTCTTCCAAAGTCAAGTTGCCTCTTTTCGACGTCTAGCTGCCATCTCTGAAGTCAAGTAACCTCTCCCTAGTGTCCAGTAGCTTCTCTCCTCTATTGGCTGAGTCTGAGGTCTTTATAGGCACAGGATGTTGGGGGTTGGGGGTGGCGAGGGGGGCAGAGTGGGCCATAGGTAGTTTTGGAAAAGACAACATTTTATTTGTAAAAAGACATTATTCAGAAAGAACCAACTGGGAAAGGGCAGGCACACAGGGATGGAAGTTCTCACTTTGGGCCATGGGTTTCAGGTGTTTTGGCTTGAAGGCGGCGTTTTGCTGGGGACCCACCCCTGTCTGCCTTGAATTTCTCTGCCTCCTACCTCTATCACTATTAGTAGAGGAAAAAAAGTATTGGTTAAGTTAGCCTGATTGTTTTGTCTTTCCCAATAGTATATTAGTTTTTTATGTACTAAAAGGAAGATTTAGTTTTGACATGCTTATGTTTGGCTATGAATTTTAAAATACAGTTTTTGAAGATATACTGGAAGACAGCACAATTGGAAATGTGCAGATCATATCTTAATTTTACAAAGTATATTTTTAATATTCAGTCTTTGTCCACATTATAACTATATGACAGGTAGCTTTGCCAACGTCTTTTATTTATTCTTGGTAGAGGGCATCCACTCGTTTGCTCTTGGAAATACAAGTAAATGATTAATGAATCAAGAGCAAAAACAACAATGAGTTATTTCTTCACCAAAGACAGTTTTCTGCTTTGTATAGTGTTTTTAAAAACAAATACAATGGTTTATCTTTGCTGAGACGTGGGACAATTTTCTTGCAAATTTTGAAAGTGAACTTTTAAACATAGGGAATGAAAATACACACACACATACACACACACACACACACACACACGCACACACACGAGACAGGAAAGTCCTGAGTGCAGATAATAGTTATAATGATAATTATTAGACTTTCATGTTAAATAGATATAGAAAAGTGATAGCTGTTACATTACTGGGAGGTTGTTTAGACTCTAGGTCATTTCAGGCAGGCAAAATCACTGATTTAATACAACACTTCTTGTTTAATGAATGGCTAAGTCCCAAATATCTGACAACTCCACATCTCTCTCATTTCTTTCAGAGTGTGAAAGGAGAGGAATCATGTATTTTAACAATGTGAAAAGCTGACATAGAGCTGTCACATATTTTGGCTCATCCTCTTTTCCATAGGAAGTACAATGTTGAGTTGGTTCTAACTGACCCATGAGGTTACTGATTTTATGTTGCCAGAAAGACTGGTGACTGCAACTCAATAAGGCAGGCTCTTCCTGTGCAGGTAGAATGGCAACTCCTAATGTCCAGGTATAATTACTACTGGACCAAATATTTTATATGTATTTCTTATTTCCTATTGTTAGATGTTACTGATATGAATCCAAAGCCAAGAGTCATTTCTTGGGGCCTGAATAAAAGTTAGAATTTGGACTTATAGATAATGCCATCTTCATGTATCTGTGGTTCCAATAAGCTTTTTTTTCTTTTCTTTTCTTTTCTTTTTTTTTTTTTTTTTTTGAGATGGGGTCTTTCTCTGTCACCCAGGCTGGAGTGCAGTGGCACAATCTTGGCTCACCGCAACCTCTGCCTCCTGGTTCAAGTGATTCTCCTGCCTTAGCCTCGAGTAGCTGGGATTACAGGCACCCACCACCACGCCCGGCTAATTTTTGTATTTTTAGTAGAGACAGGGTTTCGCCATGTTGGCCAAGCTGGTTTTGAACTCCTGACCTCAGGTGATCTGCCTGCCTTGGCCTCCCAAAGTGCTGGAATTACAGGTGTAAGCCACTGCACCTGGCCCCTGATCTTTATAATGTCAATACATGTCACTATGCAATAAAGAAACCAAAAGTGTTTATTAAAGTTGCCGCTGATGGCCACTGCTTAATTGAATCAAGCCAATAGGGCAGAGTTTTTTAGAAACAGAGCATTGAGAAAGTGTAGGTTTTGCATATTTAAATGGATAACAATCCAGTAACAAATATTACATTACGTTAATATGTATAATTTAGTTCGTTAGCTTGAATTGTAAAGAAATCTCTTCACTGCACAAAATACATTGACTTTTCTAACTGTGTGTGTGTCTATTAGCCAATTTAGCTTCTCTTTTCTGCCCATTCACTTGTAAAAGCTGCTAATTCATCAACAGAAAGTGGATACAATCTACATACAAAATGAGTTAGAGGCAAGGAAGCAGTTGATTGCAGACATCAAGTAACTTATTAGCAATGTTTTACATAGCTTTGTTCTTTAATGGATTGTGCAGGTTCATTCTTCATTGTGTTGACATTTAAGAGAGAAATTAAGGAAAAGTGAATGGTGGTTAAACATTTGGTACAAATACAATAGCACGATGAGTGTGGGTATTGAAGAAGGTATGTCAGATGAATGCCAGATAGTGAGTTGCAGGCTTATGTATCACCTGGTTTCTATAAAATGAGCAGAAATGTCAAACATTTCACTTAAAAAAAGATCATTCCATCTGTTCTCCATTGCTCTGGGAAAGTAAGTTTAACTTGTAGTGCTTGCTTTAGCTAACTAGAAATTCAGGAAAACCATAAATAAATTTTTGAAAACTAGCCTTCAGATATGAAAAACATGGAATTAGCTATGAATCTTTGTTAGGGGGATATAATTAAAACCAAAATCTCTTCCTAATCCAGAAAAGCTCTTTAGAATGGTAGAAGAGAAACAATTTTATTATTGAATAAACATTAAACCAGAGTGTGATGAACATCATGAGCAATTGGCAAAGAGGTTGAAGACAGAAAAAATAGCTGTCTTTTATATAACTAAGCAGATGCAGACCATTATATATACATTTTCTCAAGACAAACAATATTATTAGTCCACAAGAGGCCTGGACAGCACCATTTATCACACATTGTTTATCTTAAGTTCACCTCACAACTGGGGGGACCATATGCGTTCACAAATTGGTTGTATCCAAAGGAAAAATAAACTTCTCCTATCTTTATGACAATAGGTACCTTTGGTGCTTGGAGCAAGGTACTCAATAAACTTAGGCAGAAGGTGAGAGGTAGGGTTCCTATCTTCTTTGGTGATTACATTTCAAAAACATGCTTCCTAGGTCCTTGAGAAAGACATTCCTTGGTCCTAAAGCTGACAAGTTTATTTAGCTTTAGAAAAGATTTATGTATATTTCAAAGAGACAGAGAGTTTACAATTATAACTTTTCTAAAATAAATGCTCTAAGACATTAACTGAAATCCCAGTTTTACCACTGAGTAGTTGTGCTACCTTGAGGATTCTATTAATCTTTATGAATCCTAAGTTTGTCATCTGTAAAGTGGGAATCATACTGCCTGCATCATAAGATTATTGTGATGATAAATTGAGACAATTTATATAAATCTTTAACAGAGTCTTTAACAAAGTGAATGGTTACTATGGTGGTTACCATTATAGGGCTAGCCCCTCTACTTATAATTTTGAACCTTCCCATCAACTCCAGAATGATGCTTCATCAATTTTTCCTTCTTTTGCTCATATCAACATGTTTTTATTAATACAGTAGAATCTTTCCTTCAATCTTCAAATGCATTTACGTCTTCTCTGTTACAAAGCAAATATTTAAATGTTAAATAAAACAATACACACTGCAACTTACTTTGATCTATTTTTTAAAATCAACATTCTAAAAGTATTATTTATGGATAATATAATGCACTTATTTTAAGCACAGCTTAGTTTTTGTGACAAACATATATGTTTATATAACCACTAACACAATCAGTATTTAATTACCACAGAAAGTTCTTTAATGCCAGTCTGTAGTCAATCCCCATCTGAAACCCTGCCAGAGGCAACCCCAAATATCTGCTTTCTGTCTCTATAGATGTCTTGCCTTTTCTGGGTTTTCATATACATGAAATCATGTAATATATACCGTTTTGTGTTTGCCATATATTTTCAGCAAAGTAATTTTAAGATCCATCCATGCTGTTGTATAAGTAATCTACTCCCTTCTATTACTAAGTAATATTGCATTATGTTATTAAATCATAATTTGTTTATCAATTCAATTGCTGTTGGACATCTGAGTTGTTTCCAGTTTGGGCTATTATGAGTAAAGCTGTTATAAATATTCTTGTGCAAATATTTGAGTGAATGTATGTTTTCACTTCTCTTGGGTAAATATTTAGGAGTAGAATTGCTGGATCAAAAGACAGATGTATGTTTAAACATATAGGAAACTGTTAAAGTGTTTCCCAAGGTGCCTGTACATTTACATTTTCAGCAATGCATGAGAGTTTCAGTTTCCTTACCAATACTTGGTATTGCCAATCCTTTTAATTTTAGGTGTTCTAACTGATATGCACGTAAATCAGTTTGTAGCTTTGGTTTGCATTTCTCTTCCAGTGTCTCTGAGACTTGGAACTTGCTGCTCTATTCTGCTGGGGGAATAAATTACTCATCTCTTGCCTGGTTGGAAAGGATTATTTAGTTGTCTGTGTTGGGTGAGAGATGGAATTTAGGCAACCTAACCTCTATGTAGACTTTAAACTGAGGCTGGCCCCCACTCTTCCTGCTCCCAAGACTTCTGTGCCTCAAATTCTAAGCCTTTCAGAAAGATTTCTGTAGCCTGGAAAGCCTGGGCATCCTCCTCCTCAATAGGCACTTAAGTCTCAACTTTCTCTGTACTGTAAGTCATTTACTTCTATCTGTCTGCCCTTTGACAAGTCCAAACCTTTGATGACAACTCTTACCGGAGAATATTTATCTCTAGTTCTATTTGCCCTTGTGAGTTTCTCCATTTTAAAAATTATTTAGAGAAAGAAAAAAAGCACAAATGATCAGTTTTTCCCATTTTCAGTCATCTCTTTCCTATTTACCTTGCTTTCTCACTTTTTCTTCACTATTTCACACAGAAGTTAATGATGACAGAGCTCTAGATCTCTTTAACCTTAATTCTAGTTTATTAAAATTATTTCAACCAAAACTTTCTTCTTTCACCCAAACTCCTTTTGTCCTTGATTTCTGCATTAGTCAGGGTTCTCTAGAGAGACAGAACTAATAGGATAGATGTATATATGAAAGGGAGTTTATTAAGGACAGTTGACTCACATGATCACAAAGGTAAAGTCCCACAATAGGCTGTCTGCAGGTTAAGGAGCAAGGAAGCCAGCGGTGGACCAGTCCAAGTCCCCAAACCACAAAAGTCAGGAAATCTACAGTGCAGCCTTCAGTCTGTGGCTGAAGGCCCAAGAGCCCCTTGCAAACCACTGGTGTAAGTCCAAGAGTCCAAAAGGTGAAGAACTGAGAGTCTGATGTTTGAGGACAGTAAAAATCCAGCATGGGAGAAAGCTGAAGGCCAGAAGCCTCAGAAAGTCTGCTCTTCCATCTTCTCCTGCCTGCTTTTTTCTAGCCATGCTGTCAGAGGATTAGATGGTGCCCACCCAGATTGAGGGTGGGTTGGCCTCAGCCAGTCAACTGATTCAAATGTTAATCTCCTTTGGCAACACCCTCACAGACACACCCAGAAACAATACTTTGCATCCTTCAATACAATCAAGTTTACACTCAGTATTAACCATCACAATTTCTATGTCTCAATCACAGCGAGGAAAGTATAACTTCCTTAAACTTCGATTTCATTTAATCGTTACCTCACTGAATGGTTCTCCTTTCTCTAAATTAAATTATGTGAACAGACCAGGAATGGGGAGAGGTCAGCACATTTTTATTTCCAGTAGTTCCAGTAGTTCTACAATACAAATTATTTTAGTAAAACTCCATGAGAATTTGGCATTGCTACTCTTCAGTAGCAGCTTATTTCTCAAAGGGAAGAGAGTTATTGCTCTATATACATTGTGGCCTGTTCTCTGCCAGACAAAATGTATAGGGAAACTTTATGATAATTCTCTCTGAGATTCTCTGTTTTCTTTGATTCCAAGAAACTATCTCTAATATATAATGTGTTGACAGTGAGAAAATTGACCATTTCAAGCAACATTTAAACCTGGAGATTAAAAAGAGAGCAAAATGATCTTTTTCTCATTCTCTTTTAAGGGAGCACAATTCTAAAACTCTCCCAAGCTAAAAAGAGAAGATATTGGTTATGAAAATCTTATAAGAATGGTGATAAAACTGGCAAATATGCTTTAGAGAATAATAAAACTATTACATAGCTAGTCAACTTAAAAAATGCCTAATGTATCATAGAATGTTTGTCTCAAAATTTATTTTCTGAATTCTCTCCTAGTTAGCAAATTGAGAGGGCATGAAACAAACATAAAATAATTTCCAAACATAAATATTTGAATCTGGATTGCTTTGCAATGTGTTTTCATGGCTTGATAATTCCAGAGAAATTATTATTATTATTTGGTCTTTAATCACAAGATCTTTTTCACAAGTATACTATTAAGACATTGAATCCAAAGATGCCAGTTAATTTGTATTAATAGTATAGTATTTATAGTACTAAATATAAAATACATTTCATGTTTAACATTTTCTACCATATATGTTAAGTGATCAAGTCACACCAAGCTATTCTGTACTTAGGAGGAACAAATTGTTCTACAGAAAATGAAGGAAACTCCAAATGTTCAAGAGACTGGGGATGATATATGAAAGCTTTCACCATTAGGTAAGTAATTTAAATCCTAGGTGGTGGTGTGTAGGGTTTATTAGAAGTTTAATGATGCTCTCTGACTTATGCTCATTCTAAGAAGCACATCATTTTCTAAAGTAGAAAAAGCATGAGTCAGAGGAAGTTAAAAACCACAGTAGAAAACATCTATTTTAGTTTATCATTTGATTTCATTCTTCTTCCTAATTGTAAGTCTTAAGAATTAGACAAAAATTTGAGCTGTGGTACATAAGAAAATATGGGAAGCATGCCAAGAACTGCATTAGGCTATAGCTTTTGGAGAGCAATAGAATGGTTTTTGCCGATATTTTTATTCAGCAACCAAATTTATAATTTACTAAAAAAAAGTGAGCATATTACATAATTATTAATTTGTAAATTAAACAAAACAATATAAATTATAACAAAGCTATGATTATTTTAATGATAATGTACTGGTCTTTAGCAGGAAAGCTCTGGTAATTACCATTTGCAGTAAAGGAAAATATATCAATACAGTTTTCTATATCATAGATAGAAGTACTCCAATTTTTAAGTAGCTGCATTTCTATATAAGACATTCCTTCTCTATAAAACATGAAATTTAAAAATTAAAAAGAGCAATTTTATACTTTACAGAACTGATTTTCTTATCAGGGATCACTTCCTGTGATGATTTTCTCTTTATGTTGTGATTTTTCCACTTCTTATCACCTTCAGGGAGGTTATAATTCTGTCACATTTTTAAAAAAGCCTACTAGTTGGTCTCATTTCCTGTATAAGCTATTTTTTTTTGCAGCTATGTGTATAATTTTTGACATATGAATAAATAAATGAAGTGTTTAACATAAATTTATCTTACAAGTAGCTCTTCATAAACATCTCTGTTTTTCTAAGCATAGCATAACAAATGAAGCTACAGTGGCAGATTGTACTTTATTGTTATTATTAATTTTTCTTTTTTATAAGAAGTGAATCTGGGCTTTCTAAATAGTAATGATGATGAATAAAATTTTTGTTGGGATAGAAATCTGGGCTTTCTAAATAGTAATAATGATGAAAAAACTTTTGTTGGGATAGAAATCTCCATTTACATGGAATGTGACTAGACATACTGCCAGGCAGATTGAAGCTTGAATTTGTTGGAATACCCATTACCTAAGGGTAAAGCAGGGTGGGGAGGTGGCGGGCTGCGGTGATGTGGAGTATATGGGCAAGGTGGGAACACAGACTTTGCTTGTCATTATTGTAGTGTCTCTATTTTGCACCTCTTCTTATTGTTTCTCAGCCTCTATTTCAGTTTATCTCCATCTATTCAAGTTCAGATGCCCCATCCTTACCCCTTAAATGTCTTTCTAAAAACTCTTTTAGTTGATTCTCCAGTCCCAAGACACAGGAGTTGCTAACACCTATTCCTTTAGCCTTCATAGCCAACTAAAGCTATTAAATATATTGTGTCCTTACTTCAGGCTTTCTTTAGTATTTCTCCTTTTCCTCTCTCTTTCTTTCAACCTTTTTCTATAGCATTTGACAATGTTTTCTCCTCTCCTTTTCAAACTCTCATACCCACAGATCTATTGCCTCTTTCTCTATTTACTTCTTTAAATACTTCTTTTTCGGGCAACTCACTAGGCTTTTTTTTTTCTCTACATGTCAGTTAAATGTAGGTGCCTAAATAGTTAATGTTCATGGCCCTCTTTCTTTCTATATTACTCTTTCATCCAGTTAAGTAAAAAAAAAAAATAAATCTGAAAGTCTGCACTATAATAAGTACTAAGTTATCAGAGACAAAAGACAGCTCTGCCTTCAAAAAGTCACATTGCAATGAGGGAGACAGACAAGGCATTACAATAGAGTGTGATAATGTGTTATCTAAAAGATGGAGCTTTATTCAAGTACGCGTATCCAGGAGGGGGACTTTACCCTACCAGAGTGACATGAAACCTAGTTTTCAAGGCTGAAGGAAGAGTTTATCTGGTGGGAATGGAGCAGGGGTAGTATAAGGTGAATGTTCCAGCAGAGGAAATAGTTTGTTCACAGCCTAAGTGAGCTTGTGAAAAAGTGTGATATTTCATTAAACTGTAGTGGCTTTAAACAAACAAAATATGACTGGCACATGGGGTAAGTCTGGGGAAGAGAAGAAAAATGAGAATAGAATAAGAAAGAAGGCAGCTTATGAAAATTTCTCTATGACATTCTAAAATGTATGTGCCATATTTATAACTGTTACCCTTGCACCTTGACCTGGTCAATTTCTTTCTTTCTTTTTCTTTTCTTTTCTTTTTTATTTGTTTTGTGAAATTACACTCACCATTTTAATAAGGAGAGGTCCACTAAGTAAACCAAATTATTGAATTAAATGCTTTTCTGGAAATGTACTTCATGAAGATGCTGAACTCTCCTAATAACAACCAAGTCATTACTAATTTAATTATTTTGATTCCTCCTATCCCACACACATATGTTCAGGATAAAAAAGAGCAAGAATAGCTCACATACCATGTGAACCACTTTTGGGAATCAGATGTGTACATTCCAAAGTAAAATGACTTCAGTGTATATATACAAGGATGATAAATGTCCTGCTGAGAACAGCGGCAAAACAACAAGAAGAACCACCGTAAAGGTCTGTCAGTAGCAAAATGCTTAAACTGCTAAAAATAGCACATTAGGTCTATTGATTTTTAGGGGTTACCATGGTGGGTTTTTCTTGTTTTTTGTTTTGTTTTGTTTTGTTTTTTAAGTGAGAAGAGAATGAGCTGGTGCTGGTGCTGGCCTTGTTCTTTCCATTCTTTCTTTACGAAGGTTTTGATGACACCCTTAGCCAGGAATGACCTGATTTGTATTCATTCTTGTTTCAGTTGACATAACTTTCCTTTGTCACCATGTCGGATATCATTTATCTTACAAATGATGACCTTTTGCACATCCATGTTGTTGGTATTGTATTGTTTCTTACTGATATTAGGGTTGCTAAACTAATTTTATAAAAAGCATGGCTCTTTACCTGAAACTTTTCAACATTTAGTTTATAAAGTAAACACTTTTATCCTTTTGATCTCATCAAATTCCAACTACTGAATTCCTGTTTCTCTAGATGATACATTATTTGCATTTGCAAAATAATTCACACAGATCCACACAGTGCTAAAACCCTGGAGGTATGATTATCCAGAAGCACAAGTTTTTAACATTTGCACTAGATGTCTGCAAGGATGTGTAAGACAAAATCTCTTTCAGTGCCGCTGCCCTGGAAGGAGTTTAATAAATATCCCTAAATATAGATAGAAAAGAAAAATTTCTGACTTAAATACCACCTGTAAGATTTTCCTATTATTCAGATGTCTTTCCTTTTGACTGCTTCACTTTTTAACACCATATGTTACAAAATGAGAAGTTAAAATTATTTTACTCTCAGTTTTTGCTGTTCGCATCTTTAAATTAACATAATGAAATCTTTTATGGAAATTGCTCAATAAAGTAGCAATTTAAAAAGCCTGTTTTCTAAAAGCATGCATCATATTAATACTCTTTTAGAAGTGATTATTAAAATTCTAGTGCTTTTTCTTGCCTTGTACATGGGGCCTTGAATCTGTGAGCATTTTGACAAGAAAGTGCCTGTAAGCTTCAGTATTCAGTGGCTCAGTCAGCCTCCAGCTTTCTTCATCCTTTCTCCTCGCACTTTTGTTCTTACAGCTCCTGCACATACTTATATACTGAATAGGACCATGAAAAAGTGCTTAAGCTCAAACAGGTAGGTATTATTTTTTTCATGCCTTGTAAAAGTAGATTAGTCATATGAGAAAACTTGAAATAATTTGCTGTAATATTTTAGATTGTTTGCAATTTAAAATTTTTCAGGTATCCCTGCTTTTCTCCTTTATGCTGGATAACTAAAAGTACCTATCAATTCACCTGATTGTATTTTTCATTTTATTTTTTCCTCAGAGGCCTGATTTCCTTATAGTTTTTGACCTATTGAGGTAATTTGCATGCTCTTTAGCCATTGTCTGAGAAACTTGTGCCCAGACAAATCTTTGTTTTCCTTTTAGGCTCTATTTAATAAAGATTATGAAGAGGCTTACAGTAGCACTATTATTTGAGATTTCATTATGGCTGTTAATGGTATTTGAGTACCAGTTTTTTTTCACATGGTCATTGATAATTGGGGTTTTAGCTATTTTATATTGACAATCGGAGATTTTTGAAAATGGTGCCACCTTGAAGTCTAATTAATTAGAGAATGCTATAACCATTGTTAATGCACAACTCATTTTTAGTTTAATTTAAAATTTGGAGCATTTCTTTGCTTCCTCAAATAATTGTGCTTATAGTCAGAAGCATAATAAGTAGAAAATAGATTAACTATGAAGAAAACTGTAAATCTCTTCTCATCACTGTTTGTATTATGAACAGTATAAAAGAATCAGATGAGGAAGGGACATATTTTTATGGCATGGGTCTTGCTGTACATAGCCTTTACCTGAGCTAGTTTCTTTGGGATTGGTATATATAATGTTGCAAGTCTCAAGGCCAATGCTAAGTGCAGGGAGGGCAATCCAAGAGGCTGCAATCCCCATTTATCTTACTCTGGGCACTAAAGCTATTTCTTCCCATCCAGATTTTCTTCCAGGAAGCAATGCCCAGTTGAAATGGTAAGATGGTGTGAACATGGATCTTTCTAAGGATCAAAATGGGATCTGTTAAATATGTATGTTTATGGGGTCTGTTAATATGTATTAAGCATTTCATAGGTGTTAAGTCTTCATCAAGACTTAACAAACAAAGTAGAAGAAACAAACACATAAAGAGGTCCTTATATCATGTGATAGATGCCATGATAGAGGCATCGGTTCAGGGTGATGAGGTAGCACAGAGTGAAGACATAAATCAGCCTGGGAAAATCAAGGAACGCCTCCTGGAGAAGACAAACTGTAATTTGTCTTTAAAGCTGCTTACTAGCCAGATGCAAAGTTAGAGGAAGGCAAGTAAGGCAGAGAAAACACACTATCAAGGAATGGAAACTAAAATAATAAAAACTACAACGATCTTTACATTTATTTTAGGTACTATTTTAGGTGATGCATGAAACCATTTCATGTGTCCCACAAACATATGAGGCAGCTATTACTATCCCAGTTTTATGTATGAAGAAATTGAAGCACAGAATGTTTAAGTGAATTACCTAAGGTCACATAGACAGTAAATTATAGAGGACAGATTTGGAACCCTGCTGTCTGACTCCAGAGTCCATATCCTTAACCACCATACGATACAGCCCCGTGCTGTGGTTTACTGATGGGTGTAGTGAACAACAAGTGAGTTGAAATTACTGGATAAAATTCTAGCTTGGAGAAGGCAGAAGGCACAGTTGCAGAGACTGACAAGTGGCAGATACTGACTTTGTATGTCATGCTAAGACGGTTAGAATAAGACTTCTCAACTATGTATAGTGAGGGGACAATTTACTTTATTATTATCTTTTAATTTCAAATATGATGTGGATGGATATGTTTATAAAATATAAAATTACATACATGGATATCAAGGCAATTTCAAATTGCTAGAAAGGATTCTAAATGCTTACTTCATTTCTGTGCTTTGCTAATCATTGATTTATAACAAACAATTTTGGGCTAGCGCTTTGAGTAGTATTGATTTATATTTTTTACTTTGTACCTTGTGGTGTAATTAAGGTATAACCATTCAGATGGGCAGGTTAGCATTTTAAGTATTGATTTCTTTGTGGAAAATGAACTAGAGGCTAAGACTGATTACAGTGAGCCCAATTATGAATCAATGATTGTAGTGTCTGCCAAATATAACTGGAGCCTAAACTGAGGCTGTGGAGTAGCAATGAAAAGTGAGAGGTAAATGGTTTTGAGAAATCCTTGAGAGCTATATCTGGCCTGGGTCCATGGACAAGATTCCCTTATCTTCAACTTCCACTAAAACAGCTCTTTGTGATTCTTTACTCTGTTTTCCTCTTAAATTTAATATTTTAAAATGTCTATCTCAAAAGCTACCATCTATGTATTTCTTAAATCAAAACCGTATTTTTCCTTCAAAATGTATTAAACATTTTGTTTAAGCGAAGTTCCTTTTAGGCCCTGGGTTTAAGTGGGAAGAAGGCTGGTGAGGCTGAGGAGTGCAGGATGATCTGCAGGGCTAGAAGTGAAGTGTCGTTTCTTTCTTAAACAAGTATCTTGTGTGGAAACATGCAGCAAAGCCAAGAGTTAATGGTTTAAGGAATGAGCCTTGAGGGAACAGGGGCCAAGGGAAAATTTTCACTTTGTCCTTCTGAAGGTTTACTGAGAAATGAACTCATAAATGTCAGATTAACTGGAGAAAAAGCATTCAAAATTTATTAATGTGTAAACAGGATCCTTTGGAATGAAGACCCAAAGATATAGAAAAAATTGTCCATTTTTATGCTTAGGTTCAAGAAAGTATGGATAGCTGCATAGAAATATGTTTGGAAAAATAGGGTATTATCTAATGTTAATAGATGGAGTAGAGCAATATAGCAAGGCCTCTTGGTCTAGATTTGTCTTGGTTTTTCAGAGCATGTGTTTCTTCCTTCTGGATATGGGACAGGACCCTCTCTGGAAAGGGGGTCAGATAATTTTTTATTGCCAGTTTTTGTACAAAAAGGCAGAAGAAAAGCTGGAGTCAAATTTTTAGGTTTATGGCTGGCTTTGAGGAAAAGAGGTTCTGATTTTTATCGTGGCTTGTGGAAGAGGGATTCAAGTTTGTATGGCCAGCCTTGGAGGAGAATGGGGCTGAACGACAGGAGGCAGGAGGGTAGGAGAAGGTCAGAGAAAACATTTTTTTTTTTTTTTTCCTGAGGCTGTTTCTGAGGCCATTGTTGAATGTTGTTTTCTGTTTTCCAAACTTCTCTGGCCTAAAACTTCCCCAATAAATTTCACAGGCCAGTAATTGGGTTGGTGGATTGTTGTATAAGCCATTTAATTGAAGCAGTCTCTTAGTCTTGAGAACAGGGCAGTCAAGTTAAACAGTTAATAGTTGCATCTTATTTCAGGCAATGGTCTTGTAGATGGGGTTTTACCAAAGTTGGGTTTCTTTATGATTTTAGCAATCAGACAGATATTGAATAAGAGGCATTTTTATGGAAACAAAAGGAAAACAAAAGTTAATGGTTAGAAAAAAACTATAAACTTAGGTTTTGAGTGTAAGAGGCAGCCCATTGAGAAGATTTTTAGATGTTAGGCTTGAAGCATCTTTAGATGAAGTGAGAGCAGATAGTAACAATCTGACAGATTTTTTTTTTGTCTGTAGTTTATATCAGGCATTCAAGGGAACTTTTGAGTAGTCTACACATTGTCAGGCTCAAAGGCTGTTTGTATATTAAGTTGTTATTATGATTTTTAAAAGAAGTTTTTATCAAGTTGTCTACCTTTAGCTTATAGGGCTTTAGGCAAAAGCAGTATTAATTTTAGTAATTTTTAGTCAGAAAGTAGAAAAAATTTGGAAACATTAGTTGGGAGGCTTATAGCCAGGAAAGAATTTAGGATTTAGTCTGAATTGTAGGAAAATAATAAAAACTCAAAAACAATGATTAAGGCTGGAATCTAATAACAGGTATGTTTTAGTTTATTTTAAACAATTTTTTTCTAGTCCCCCATTTTTACTAAAGAAAAATCATAGCAGGACCAGTTTATTTGTAAAATAAGTTACAGTTTTACTACACTTGGCCTGATTATTTGTATAAAATGTAGTATGAATAGTGATTGGCCATATAGATTCTTTTTAAATTGGTTTTGTTGGAAAAATTTTACAAGGAATCTCGGATTAGACTTTTAAAAGTCTCTCAAGGCTTGGAAGCCAAGCCAGGGATTTATGATCAGGCTGTCTGTAATACCTGGATAAATTTCTTTTTTGGTGGGGGGTGGATCCCCAAATAACTCGGTTTCTGGGCCTATCAGAAAGTGACTTTTTTTTTTTTTTTTTTTTTTTTTTTACTTATCACAGGTCAGGAACCTTGTAAAAGAACTGTGTAGACAAGGTACCAACCCAGCCTTATAAAGAGGCTTTTTATTTACTCTATAAAGTCAACCTTGATTCCTCAAAGCAGTTCAGTCTTATTGGAATATATTCTGTTCCAGTCAAATCCTTCATTAAATAACTAGTGTCTTTCATTGTGTCCCGTTACATAAGAAAACAGATTTTTTATTGAACTTATGTAAATAATTATAATAAATTAAGAATACTCACAAATTATTTCTAAACTAGATAAATCGGATAGATAGACAAAGAAAATCAGGTTTTTTTTTTTTTTACAAAGGTATATTGTACCAAATTGTTGTCAGCTATAAATTGCTGAAAAGAAAAAATATTCTTGAGTATAAAAAAAAAAAAGGCTGGGCACGGTGCCTCATGCTTGTAATCCCAGCACTTTGGGAGGCCGAGGCAGGTGGATCATGAGGTCAAGAGATCGAGACTATCCTGGCCAACATGGTGAAACCCCATCTCTACTAAAAATACAAAAATTAGCCAGGTGTGGTGGCACATGCTTGTAGTCTCAGCTACTCGGGAGGCTGGCTGAAGCAGAAGAATCGCTTGAACCTGGGAGGTGGAAGTTGCAGTGAGCCGAGATCGTGCCACTGCACTCTAGCCTGGTGACAGAGCGAGACTCTGTCTCAAAAAAGAAAAAATAAAATAAAATAAAAATAAATAAAAAGAATCAGCAGTGTTTTAAGTGAAAAAAATATAAAAACTATTTTAGTCTTTTATCAGTTTAGTCCCATGTAATTAACTTTTGTTCTGTTTGATGTTGGATTAGTATTCCTCATGAATGCATCAGCTTTTTAATTGAAGTCCTGGAAGTTTTTACCTAGTCTAATGGTATGATCTCCAAAGTTACTAGAAACCTGTCAAGAGTACTTGTCAGAGAGTCCTTTACATGGGATTTTTAAAAGAAGAAGTAAATTTTGGACTGTTGGTAATTATAAACCACTTTTGAAGAATAATTAAAAAATAAAACAATGATTGTTTGTGGAAGACAAAAATCCTAGAATAGTCATGGTGAAAGACAATTGACAAGAAAATTTAGTTATTTTTGTGGTATATAATGATGTTAACATGATAATCATAATTATTACTGATAACATGTAGTACGACATATCAGAATTTTAGAAATCTCATGTAATTTTGGGACATAAGTTAACAACACATTTATGTAAATATAAACCATAGAAAGTTAAACACTATTTCTTATTTGACGATGTTCCCCACATGATTTTAACATACCAAACATGCCTGATATGTCCCTCTTGGACTTCCAGGAGCCCTAATATCTGAAAAGTTAGTGTGAGGTTAAAAGAACATACATGTAGAATTTGAAATTTTGATTTTGAAAAGTCTGTCAAATATCAAAAGTTTAAAACACTTACTCGAAATAGGATCACAAGTCATTGTAAAATTATAGTCATTTATTTAGCCAAGGCATATTGATCAGAGAAAAGGCATTCAAAAGTTATTAATACGTACACCAGAGCCTTCAGAATAAAGACCCAAAGATACAGGGCAAAGTGTCCATTTTTACACTTAGGTTCAACAAAGTATGAATAGCTGTGCAAAAACATGATTAGACAAAAAGAGTGTGATCTAGCATTAATAGACTGTGTGGGGAAACTCAAGTCTAGTCTGTCCATATTCTTCTTGGTCTCTCCGAGCTTGTATTTCTTCTTTCTGTGTATGGGGAACGACCCTCTTTGGTATAGGAGGCTTATGACCTACAGTCAAACAAGGTAGGTCAGATAATTTTTTTTACAGCCAGTTTTTATACAGACAGTCAGAATAAAAGCCAGAGTAAAATTGTTAGGTTTTATGGCTGGCTTTGGGGAAAAGGGGTTCTAGTTTTTATGACCAACCTTAAGAAAAAGAGATTCTAGTTTTTATGATTTGACTTGGTGGAAAATAAGACTGAAAGCAACAGCAAAAAAATCAGAGAAAAACTTTTGTTTCTGATAATGAGGCCTTCATTTTGAATAATTGATTTCTGAGTCCCAAGAAAGGGAAAGGACAGGAGACCCAAGAAGCAAAGGCTAGAATTTCTCAAGCAGTCCAAGAAATGAGCAGAATGTCTATCTAAGCAGAGGGATGACAAGCAATTATTTCAAAGCCTTGTAGTAGGTAACAAGAAGAGGCTCAGGGTAGTGGATAGTCTGGAGCAGGGAGCTAGGGGCTGGCACCCAGTCACAAAGTCAGGGTTTCAGGCTTGAGCGTTGGAATTCCAAACTAGGACTTATTGGTGGTAGAAGAATGACAGGAATTCATTTCTTGTGGATTTGAATTTGAGGTTGAGAAAATAATCATTTTCTGAATGTGCCTAGCACCTCAATAAGTACTTAATGTATATAATTTCATTTAATTATCACAGCAAATCTACCATGTAACTAATATGCCTGTTTTGAGGAAATCAAGACTAAGACATGTTACAAAACTTGCCTAAATTTACACAATTATGAGGTGGTGATGCTTGTTTTTTGCACTTCCATGCTTATTTCTTTTCGAAGATGCCATGCTTCTTTCAGCTGTCACATTTCTCAGTGCCAAAATGTGAACAACTATTGACCTTAGAGTTTGCTTATGTGATGAGAGCGCAGAGGTCAGAATGCGCTGGGGAAAATGTCAGTGTGGACTTCATACGTCTCCGGAATGCTTTTCACTGCAGAGCTCCTCTTTGAAGAGAAAGCCCAAGAGAAATTCTTGAAAATTCAAAATTTTTATTCTTTTAATACATTGATAATCATTTATGTGTCAGGTGTCATTTTAAACACTTAAGATACACTAATGAATGAAACAAATATAAAATGTCACAATTCCAGTAGAGAAAAAAAGATAATAAAAAGTATAATGAATAAGTGAAAAGTATAAAATGAGATAGTAAGTTGATGAAACAAACCAGGGTATGGGGCATCAGAACTATAATTTTAATAGTTTTTATAGTAAGCATTACTGAGCAGTTGACAGTTAATAAAAAATATTTAGATTATTCCTGCACTCAACGACTATCTGCGAGCCACATAAAGCTGTGTGGAAGTACTGCTGCATTTTTCAATAAGGTCAGATATTTGGGGGATTTTTTTTTTTTCAGTCAATACTACCTCTGCCTGTTTTAGCCCAGCTCAGTGTCAACCCAAGTCACCAAACACACACAGTCTCAGCTCTGCTTTGGGGTTGAATTAATGAGACAAGTTCTGGTAGCCTTTTGGGAACTCTTCCCCACTGGTGAGTGAGCTCTGAAAATAACTATTGCTTAACTCAGCAAAATAAAATTTTATGAGTTTATGTGAATATTATGCTGCAGTATTCCTAATTAAATCCATCCTGCTTGGCCTGGTCACGTGGTTTGACTTCTGCTCTGTTCCCCAAGGAATGAATTTACCCAATTTATATTCTGGTACCCATATGATGCAAAGGACCACAATCACTGAGAAGCGTCTGTCACCATTTATAATCTTATTCCCTTGGTATTTATTTTTGATTCTTTTGAGAGTAAACAACTACTTCATGAATTTAACGTGGATACAGACTTAGAAATATATATTTTTTCTTTACTATAGCATTGTCAGCTATATTTAATGAATTCCTGTGACCTTGGAGATTGTATTCCACCTCCCTCTCCTTGACACTCATCAGAAATAGAAAGACTCAAGAAAAAAAAATGCTGTATCCATGATGGGTAGTTTGAATGTAACTCAACAGACACATGTTTCATGAACATGGTTTTCTTAACGAAATGCAGGGATATCTTGTTTTATTGCACTTAGCTTTATTGCACTCTGTGGATATTGCATTTTTTTACAAATTGAAAGTTTGCGGCAACCTTACATCCAGCAAGTCTGTTGAGACCATTTTACAACAGCATGGGTTCACTTCCTGTCTCTCTGTGACATGTTGGTAATTCTTGCAAGATTTCAAACTTCATTATTATTATATCCTATTTGTGATCTGCAATTTGTGGTCTTTGATGTTACTATTATAATTGTTTTGGGGTGCCACTAATTGTTTGTATCACATTGTTCCATGGTTCTTAGTCTGTTCTGTGTTTTTCAGTCTTTTTCCTGTTTGCTTTTCAGTTTTAGTTGCTTTTATTGAGATATTCTTAGGCTCAGAGATTCTTTCCTCGGCGTGTCCAGTCTGCTAATAAGCCTATCACAACATTCTTCATTTCTGTTACAGTATTTTTGATTTCTAGAGTTTCTTTTTGGTTCTTATTTTAAAATTTCCATTACTCTGCTCACATTACCAGTCTGTTCTTGCATACTGTCTGCATTATCCATTAGCACACTTAGCATATTGACAGTAGTAGCTTTAATATCCTGCCATATCTGAGTCTGCTTCTGACCTTGTTTTGTCTCTTAAAATTGTATTTTTTTGCCTTTTGGAATGCCTTTTTTTTTTTTTTTTTTTTTTTTTTCATAGCTGGACGTGAGGTATTGAAAAAAGAAATCCAGCACTGGTTTCCAAAGTGATTTCCACTCCTAGGTTTCTACTTTGGTAAATTGTAATTCTCTGTATTGAGAGAGATAGATGTGTTCTATGTCTGTCTCTAATTTTGAGAACAGTGGTTTGTCCTGGAATCAGGAACAAAATTGTATCCTTTTTGAGGGATCTAAGAAGAGTTGTTGATTTTTCCGTTTATTCGGCTTTAGCTTCCTCATAGAATGGAATGATGACTTCCAAACTCCTTACATGCTGGATTGGAAATCAGGAGTACAAACATTTTACTTGAAATATTTTTTATAAAAGTAGATGACATGTTTTATAAAACTGCTAATTTTTGGTAACATCTTTACCTTCCAAAGCTAGGTTTAAAATAAGTACTTCTCAACATTGGTTGTTTTGACTTTAAAAACAAACAGTAATTTGAAATTTTTTGAATGTTTGGTTACCTTTTTAAAATTTAAAACAAAAAGTTTTATTTTAAAAAAATATTGTTTTGTTTTGAAAAAAAAAAACAACAAAACCCTGTAGAAATAATCTCTCAGAAGAGTGACAAGATACATGGCAGAAGAAATTTGTAATTTGTAATTTTATTGATCCAAATACATAATACACTTTATTTTGTTAATTCCTCTTCGTTATTTACATTCCCTGTGGGCTACTCAATTTCCAGTTTTCACATTCGTCTAACTCTTTTTATGTGGCTTGTTTACTTCATTTTATTTGGTAGCCCACACTAACAAAAATAGCACAAATAAAGGAAATCAATTTTACAATTTTAAGAGAATTTTATTTTGCATAGTATTTGTAGCTCCTAATTGATAAATTACATCATTTTCATGAAGTCTTTGTATTATGTAGTATTTTGGAAATAGAATTTGCATCTGTTCTTATTTTGTGAATTCTATTCTCTGATCAAGCAGGATATGAGCTGTTCTTAAAGTGAGTTAGTTGTCCACTTGTTTAGAATATAAAACAGAAAGAATTAATAGATCTGTTTAAATTTTCTGTAGCTGATTTTTATTAATGATATTTTCCATTGATTGTTTCAAGATGTGTATCACTAGAGGTTTAATCAATTAAACAAGTATTTTCTTTGCAGGGCAAGGACTTAGCATGACAAATTTTTTTTAAGTGAGAAAAAACATTTAAATATTGCTCAATATGATTTTGCGAGGACCCTTGGCAAAAAAGGCATATAAAATATGATTTTCCGTTTTTGAAACAAAAGAGTGATGCAATGCCATGGTCCATGATAATATTCACTGTCTTTATTAAAGACCTTTCTGATGAATTCTTTTTCAACAAATATTGTTAAGAAAAACTTTACTTATCCTTTGGGACTGAACTCATATGTTGATTTATAGAGTTTACCTTGCTATCTGTTTTTGAAATTTCATTTTATTCTGTTGTCTTGGTAGTTAGGAAGTTGAGTGAAATTTGAAAATCAACTACTGTCTTAGGGAGAATAATGACTCTCCAATGAAGTTTATGTCATAATTCTTGAAACCTTTGAATACATTAGGTTATGGTCAGGGGAAATTAAAGCTGCAGATAGAATTAAAGTTGCAAATCAGCTGACTTTAAAATAGTGAGATTATCTAGATAGGCTCAATAAGTAGAAGAGGGAATAGGAAGAGAGTACCAGAAAGATAGCAGTGTGGTAACTTAGCCTGATATTGCCTGCTTGAAGATAGAGGAAGGGGCCATAAGCCGAGGAAAGCAGATGTCCTCTAAAAGGTAGAAAAAGCAAGAACATAGATTTTTGCGTAGAGCCTCCAGAAAGTAATGAACTGCGAAAACCGTGATCTTAGCAAATGAGATATACACCAGACTTCTGACCCATAGACCTGCATGGTAATATATTTGCATAATTTTGAGTCACCAGGTTTGTGGTAATTTGCTGCAGCAGCAAAATCACTGAGATTGTAAAGTAAGGAAAATGCCATCATGCGGTTGTTACTCAAAGAAATCTCTGTGAAAACTTTAGCCAAGCTCTTCTCTGAGAAAAGGTAAAGGAAGTGACTTGAAGAGAGGAAGAGCTCTTCTTCATGACAATCTATGAAGAAGTTACTCTACCTGGATAAAACATAATGGGGACTGACAACCTGGGTGAAATAAGAGGTATGGTGATCACATGATGCGTCATCCACAGGCAGACATCGTTGAGAGTAAAAGGGGACACTAGAAAAATTAAGCCAGGTTATAGGCATACCTGGCTGAACTTGGCAACTGGAACTTGTGATCGAACTAGATGAGGAGACTAGTGTGAAGGAAGGAGAGCAGTATGTTTCTTGGCCAGAACTTAATGAACACTGTGGGTGAGACTTAGGTGGCTTAAAAATACAAGCTTTAGAGGTAGAAAATCTGGGTTTACTACTTGCCATACCAAGTTTCTTATCTGTAGAATGGGGAATAATAGTTGCTCTTTTATAGTGATATTGGGGTGATTAAAAGGCACAATGGGCATGACATTTTTGCATGGTGGCTGGCTCAATGCAAGTGCTTAAGAAATGTCATTTCTTTCCTTTTTCTCTTTATTAACAGTAATAATACTTATAAAGTGTGGTAAAGTGATAGAATAAAAGCTAGCTGGTTGAGATACAAAACAAATAAACAAGATATCTTCCCTTAAATATAATTTCTCAACTTATATTCATTGAGGGCCTAACACATGCTAATTACTATGCTAATCAAGGAGCACTTAGATGGGTAAGATATAGTATGTCTTTCTTAACTAAATTTCACTTAGCATAAAATTTATATGTTATAGATTTTTCCAGCTTTTCTGAGGTATAACTGACAGGAGAAATAGAAGGTTTGATTCCTGTGAGTCTCTGATCATATTTTCATCAGCCAATCAATGCATAACCTTGTTTTATGTGTCATTCTGTTTAAAGCACCTTATGTAATATATATATATTTATATTTTATATATATATAAGATATATATATATATATATATTTCTTACAAATAATTGATTGAACAGTCTTTGAATGATTTAGAGCCTGGGGCTTTGGAAGTCATTTGTGTTATATAGGTTCCTTTGGCCAAGTCCATGTAAAATAAGCCAGTCACAATCGCATTAAAATCCTGCTCTTCCCCATGACCCTTTTCCTGTATAACACTTAGCAGATATTTTCAACATTCTTTTGCTGCCTCCTGAACTGAACAACCTGCTTGCCTGCAAGTTTAGCATTTTTCACACCATACCACCTTTTGAAATGTGTGAGGCAGACAGCACTAGCTGAGAAGAATTTAACGTTTTCCTGACCCTGGGTAACATTACAGTAATTTTCTTTGACTTTGAACCTTACAATAATGCTGCCCACTATGCTTTTTTTTCTAATCAGTTGTCATCTCATGAATTCACAAATTTAGCTATTTTTTTCCAACTGTTCCATAGCTTCATTATATGCTATAAATGTTACTTCAGCAGTTTCTGGAACGGTCTTATGTACAAATCAGCAAATTTCCTCTTTTTTTTTTTCTGGATATACTGTTTGTTGATTCATTAGCATTTAACTCACGGTCAATAGCCCTATAATTCATGCTTGAATGAAGCTTAACTAACAAATATTTTCTCTGTAAGGCCCATCACAGTCTTCTTGTGTTTAGAAACATAAGATAGCACTTCCACACCATGTTTGAGGCCATTTAAAACAGCAAAATCACCAACAGTAAGTACAGAAATGCAAAAAATGTGGTACTCAATAGATCCTGAATAAGACATGTGTTTACAGTATAAAAACTGAAACAACATGGCAGAGTGTTACCTTGTTCGACCTCAGGAACCTGCAGCTGTCAGGCAACTCAAATATTTTGCCCCTCCGCAAATGCCTTTGTAAATGCCAAGAGTATTGGTTTTGGTTACAGATAAATTTTATCAAGTAGACAAATTTGAAAATACAAAATCTGCAAATAATGAGGATTGGCTCGTGTGTGTGTATTTCTAAATTACTGTTAAAATTTTCATGTAAATCTACTCATAATGTCATTGAAGTCAAAATATGTGATTATTTATAAATTCCTAAAAAAATAATTTCTACCTCTCTATCTCAGTAGTAAGCATAATAGACAAAAGCCCCTGAACTCATGGAGGTTGTATTTGGTAGCGTGTTAGGGATTGGCATATTGTATGAAACTTATTGTGCCTGCATATGGCTGTATAAATTTTAATCATAATAGTTCCTGCAATATTTTGCATTTCATTTTTCTTACCTTTCTAAATTTCAACACCATCCTTTCTTGCTCTGCCTCTGTAAGGCATGCGCCTCACAACTAACTACATACAGTTTGAAGATCTAATCAATGTTAGACCTGTTGATAGCAGAGATTAGCGTTCCCGAAGATTGACATGCTGCTGAGAAGTGGCATGTTGTTTCCTTCCTTTGGGACACCAGTTTGCTTTTAATATTGTGCAGAGTCCACTGCTGACAAGACAGTTAATAAAACTGATATCAGGCACTGTGTCGTATCTGAAAAAAATTAATAAATAAACGTATGCTGAGAAAGGTTCTATTAAGTAGGTCGGCAGTCAGCTTTCCTAACTGTCAGCCACTGTTCTTAGGAGCAATTTATTTTTTACTATTGCTTATTACACATATGCTAATTTTTTCTGGGCCCAAACCCATCCAGCATCATTTGTTGAAAACACTATCCTTTTTTCATTAAATGGGCTTTGATTTTGCCAAAAATCAATTGTTTGGATATGTTTGAATTTATTTCTAGAATTTCTTTTCTATTTAACTAATTTATTTGTCTATCTTAAAATCATTGTCTTGATTACCATAGCTTTATAATGAGTCTTGAAGAAAGGTACTGCAAATCTTGCAAACTTTTTGTTATTTTCCAAAGTCGTTTTGGCTATTTACTGGTTCTTTCTATTTCCATGTCAATTTTAGAATCAGCTTGTTAATTCCTACAAAAAAACAAAAAACAAACAAAACAAGACAAAAAACTGCAAAGATTGTGGTCTGGATTTGCTTTAAGTCTGTAGCTCAATTTGGAGGAAAGTAACATCTTCACAAATTTGAGTTGTTTGATTTATAGACACAGGATGTCTTTTAATTTATTTTGATCTTCTTTAATTTTCCCTCAACAAAGTTCGGTAGTTTTCAGTCTACAGATCTTGCACAGCTTTCGTCGGAATTTAATAATTTTATTTTCCAATTATTTGCTTTCAGTGTAAAGAAATATTATAGATATTTATATTTATCTTGTATTTTGTAAACTTGCTAAACTAACTTCTTCTAGAAGCATTTTTGCAGATTTCATAGAATTTTCTGCATAGACAATCATGTATGAGAGCAAAAAAATTTATTTTCCTTTGCAGTCTGTATGCCTTTAATTTCATTTTTTGGCCTCGTTGCATTGTCTAGGACCTTAGTACAGTGCTGAATGAAAGTGATAATAATGGATGTGGGCTTGTCCCATATCTAGGGGGAAAGCATTTAAAGTTTCTTTCTATTCTTTGTTTAGAGTTTTTATAAGAAATGGATATTGGATTTTGTCAAATGCTTTTTCTGCATCTATGGAGATGATCATACGTTCTTCCTTTTTTAGTCTGTTAATACAGTGAATTAAATTGATAGTTTTTAAAGTGTTAAAACAAGCTTGTATTTCTGGAATAAAGCTTTTATTCTTGCAGGTTCTGCTTTAAACTTTGTTAGGCAGTACCAGAACAACATTTTCATCTAATTTTACACATTGCTAAGATAAAACCCTTCTTCCTAAGTTCAACAATTAAGTCTTCTACTCTGGCTGGTGAAAAAAGAAAACATTCCTGGCTTTGTGCAATTTTTAAGTAATAGTCTTTGTTTTCCTTATCTTTTCTACAAGTTATTTTCCCAATCTTGGGCAATTTTTTTAAAATGTATGTGCAGAGCAGTTCTCAACTAAAGAAGTGAGGAGGTCCTGGCTAACACGGTGAAACCCCGTCTCTACTAAAAATACAAAAACTTAGCGGGGCGTGGTGGCAGGCGCCTGTAGTCCCAGCTGCTCTGGAGTCTGAGGCAGGAGAATGGCATGAACCCGGGAGGCGGAGCTTGCAGTGAGCCGAGATCGCGCCACTGCACTCCAGCCTGGGCGACAGAGCAAGACTCTGTCTCAAAAAAAAAAAAAAAAAAAAAAATGTGAGGAGGACCCTTTGCAGATCTCTGAGTTCCCTCTCTGTGCTGTTCTCCCTTTTCTGGTACTCTGCACTGTGAACTCTGGCTGCTTTGGCTCCCCCACATTTCCATCTCTATCTTTTTGATTCCTGGGTTTCCATTCCTTACCCTGCAGACTGAAAACTCTTAAAACAGTTAAATTAGACAATCTTAGGGCTCACCTCTTTTGTCTCCCTTCTTTTAGGGATGCTTGTCCTTATTTGTCTGATGTCCATTTTCTTGAAAATTGTTTTTTTTTTTTTTTTCCAATTTATTTCAGGTAGGAAGTTAAATCTAGTCTCCTCTTTGTCAGAAGAGAAAGTCTGTATTAATATTTTTAAAGCATATTTTTTCTTCGTCATAGAAATCTATACTTCGTAAATTAAAGTCCATGCTACTTTTTGGTAAGATTTTCATTTTTTTGAATATTAACTTTCAATAAATTGAATGAAATTTGCCTCTGTTTTTATGTTTTAAAATTCTGGAATTCTTTTTTTTTTAATTCAGAGAGACTGAATTCTGCTTTTGTGATAATGAATATTGATATGATTTGAAGTACAGGCAAGTACTGTATTGAGTTTGGAATCCGTGACTCCTTACATTTTTTATGCTTGTTGTCTTCATAGCATCAATTGGTCCATTTCCGTTGAAGAGTTTTATTATGCCCATTTACTCATTTGCTAAATATATGCCAAGCTTGAGGAACAAAGTCATAAATCAGACATAGGGCTTTGTCCTGTAGGAGAGGAAGGCCATGCTATTAATAAGCAAATGCAATAAAATGCTAATTTTCAAGTAGTTTAAGACAACTTCTCTGCTAGTTATTGCATCGTTTTGGTGATCAAAGACAAGATGCAATGACACTGAATGAAACCTATGGCCTGTTAAGGTCATATTCCAAGAGGATGCTGTTTACTCATTTTATGTTCACTGAGCACTATTGTAGCTGAAATAATTATTTGAATCTAATATTATTTGAATCTAATATTTTTCTCCATTCTGTTTATATGTAACTCTGAAATCAGTGTTAATTTTTTTCAACAGTCAGAAGATAAATGTAGATGTATTCTTTAAATAAATAAAACAATATACACTTTTTAAAATTAGAGCATTAAAAAGGTGTTTTATAAAAAGCAGGCTGAGGATAACTGAATGCAAACTTTTAAATAGTAAAGATACCAATTTTATAGCAATTTTGTATAAATATATTTAATAAGGAAAAATATATTTACCAGTGTTCTGATATGTTCTGATAACAACTTCCAGAGGCTCTCATTCCTGAGAAGGTCCTGCCCCACACCCAGAAGGAAGAAATGCATGCTCAGCAAGGCCAAGAAGATTCCAGACAGACAGGCCTTGCTGGGTTTCCTCACTCAGTCTATTAGCATTAGATCATATGCTTTTTGTCCAGTTGTATTTCTACATGACTGTCCATACTTTGTTGAACGTAAGCATCAAAATTGACAATTTTCTGTGTATCTTTGGGTTTTCATTCTGAAGGCTTCTGTCTATACATGCTAAATAAATTTGTATACCTTTTCTCCAATTAATCTGCCTTTTGCAGGTTTATTTTTCAGAGAACCTTCAGAGGGTGACCTACACAGTGTATATTTAAAGGGAGCTCGTATTAATTCTTAACTAAAATGGCAAATGAATTTTTCTCGAATCTGATGGAATTTCTGTTTATTTAAGTTTTGATGATTCTCTTTTTAAAATTTACATCTTATAAATTAGGATGCTTGTTTCTTGCTTCAGAGTCATTATAAAAGATGACAGAAAATTCTTAGTCTTTCTTTAATCATTGTTTTCAATTTAAATATTGAAGCACCCAGTCTGACAATAGCTTCCTGTGGAAGTCTTTCTTTTAGTCTCCTAAGCTCTGCAAACTATGGCAATTTGATCTTTTTACTTATTAACTTTATAAATATTTTTACTGTTTTCACTTGCTCTTTTAATTCCTTCTTTCACTTGAGCATTCTACCCAGCTTATGTCTCTCAACCATAAGCAGCACTCTCTCCTAGATGAGCTACCTATTCTTTCCAGCACATGGGGCAAAGGTAACCACTTCCTTGTTTCTTTTGTGGGAGGAAAATTACATATTATAGTTGACATAATAAATGCTGCAAATAGATTCCCATTTTGTTCAACATGACTCATCCTATTTAATGCCAAATAATAGGGCAAGGATGATTTATTAACACTTTCAGGCCCTCTATCCTGTGATCCTGTGGTGTGACTTACTGGGTTATTAGGAAGACAAACTCTCTGTTGTTTCCTCGTTTATAAAATAGAAGACATAATAAATTTTACTTTACAGTACATTAGGCCTCAATGGACATTGTCAAATAACATGTATATTTAAGACAAATGATTTCATAAAATTAAGAATTTAGAAGTAGAATTTTCCAAGATTAGAATCTTAGACACTGAAAATGTAAATGTGTAGAAATCAAGCTTTATAACTGTTTCTCTTACAAAGCTCTGTATTTGGGACACCTATGGATGAAACTGCAATGTCACAAAGAACTTCTTTAAATTTTTAATAACAAAAAGTAAATACTAATGAAAGGCCAGAGTAAATTCTCATGGAATTCTTAAAGAGCAAGCACAATAATTATTATTATATAATATATGCAAGTGACATATTTTTTTCTACACAGCATGATACTGGAAGAAAGTGACTTAAATAAATAAAAATACTCATAGACCCCTCTTTAATTTTGCCTGGTCAGAAATCACGTCTCTTTATCTGAACTCCTATGGCATATTTTCTGCTGCTTTACTATAATTATCGGGTTTAGCTTTTTGTGTGTATGTTTTGCTTATTTTCTCCTCTAGGTTATAATCTCTTTGATCATCTGTTTCTATTAATTAGTATCCTCCACAATTAGTACTGGGAGTCTTCATTCTGAAGGCTTCTGTATATACATGTTAAATAAATTTGTATAAGTTTCCTCCAATTAATCTACCTTTTGCAGGTTTATTTTTCAGAGAATCTTCAGAGGGTGATCTACACAGTGTATATTGAAAAGGAACTGGTATTAATTCTTTTTTTTTTGATTGCAGAAAGGAACTGGTATTAATTGTTAACTAAAATGGCAAATGAATTTTTCTCGAATCTGATGGAATTTCTGTTTATTCAAGTTTTGATGATTCTCTTTTTAAAATTTGCATCTTATGAATTGGGATGCCTGTTTCTTGCTTCAGAGTCATTTTCAAAAATGACAGAAAATTATTTGTCTTCCTTTAACCACTGTTTTCATATTAAATATTTAAGCAGCCAGTCTGACAATAGCTTTCTGTGAAAAGCTATTCCTCCCTAAGGTGCCCATACACCATAAGATGTTTGATGAATTAAGCCCAGAAATCGACACTTCTACTGGAAATTTTATAAATACAAATCTGTCTTTAAAAGAGTTTCAATCTAGCCATTGTGTAACAGAATGAACAACGCTTATGTAGATCATCACTGATTTTTCTCAAAAGTGAAGGGATATGAGGGCAATTCTCCTTCTACCATCCAATAATCAGTTATGTTAACTTCTCTGTACTCTCTTTCATTTGATAATCACAGAAGCTTTCTTATATAATTTTCTTGAGAAACATATTATATATTGTTTGAATATCTTTTATAGATTTTGACTTACCCTTGGAAAGAAGAGATGCCTTTCTAATTATAGGCCCTAAGTGGGTAACGGGTACCTTTGTATCAAATAGTTATTAAAGAGTCAAGAAGGTTTATTTTAGCATTTAATCTTTTAGGAAAAGTCTAAATAGCTTTGTTTCACATATTTGGGGAAACATGACTGAGAGAAAAAAAATTGCTACAGAAAATGCCATTTGCTTTTCATCGCAGGTGATAAGGGAAAACATAACAGTCTGGATAAACACAAGCATTACAGAAAAGAGATTTAGCATGGGGACTGTGGGCGCAGCAACTGCTGTTACATTCTTGAGTATGCACTTGGTGTGTGTCTTTGAGCAAGTTATTAATTCATTTGTTGGATAAAACTTAAAAACACATAGATAGTAAGTACTCGTCAGATATTAGCTATTATTATTTTCTGAATGAAAATTCAGTAATAATTTTCAGTTGAGTTTCCACCGCAAATTAAAGTAGAACAAAAGTCCTCAGTTTGGGGGACATGATCTTTTTAGCACTGGTTCTTAAACTGGACTGTTCATTGAATGAAAAAATTGGGGCAGTTTATAAGATCATACTTAAGCTTGGGTCCTACTCCCAAGGATTCTGATTTACTGGAAGGAGAATGCCCTAAACTCTGTGATTATTCAGATCTCCCTAGGTAATTCTAATGCACAGAAAAGCTAGAGAACAGTTCTGTGGAATGTGTCTCTTCAGTTTCAAGGAACAAAAGTCAAGGCAGTGTTTGTAGATTTCTTTTTTTCTTGGCATCAGGGATAACAGCATACAAAAAGTCCACTTTAATAACACAACTATATTGTGCCTCTGTGTACTATCTTATTTATGTCACCTTCTGCCAAATTGCTATTTGAAATATCATGTCTGCAGAGGGTTTAAGTCCTAATAAGATATTGCCTTTACTCCTGAAGTCTAATGCCAGCATGTGTGGGTTTCCTGTTCCTTACAGTTACTTCTTAATATTATCATCATCATCACTTTCTCAACTGTATTAGTTTCCATATCCGTGTGGAAAATTTACTGCAAATACAGCAGCTAAAACAAAATCCATTTGTTATCTCACAGTTCTGTAAATCAAGTCAGGACACAGAGTGGCTGGGTTATCTGCTTATGTTCTTTCATGGCTGAAATCAAAGTGTTGGCTAAGCTGCGTTCTTATCTGGAAGATGTGGTGCCAAAACTCATTTCCAAGGTCATTCATGTTGGCAGAATTCAGTTTCTTGTGGTTGCAAGACTCAGGTCCCCATTTCCTCACTGGATGTTGGCTTGAATCTGCTCTCACTTTCTGGAGGCTGCCCACAGCTCCCAGAGACAGTTCATAACTTGGCTGTTTCTGTCTTTCAGGCAAGCAGGAACATGCTTTTCTGACTTGCAATCACAATCCTCTCCAATCAGCCAGATGAACTTTTTTTAGAATTATAGGCCTCGATTCAGCAGCTATGACAGATGCCTGTTGTTCAAGGCTTGCCTTCATCACACTCTCAGTCACCTAAGGCTCATGCTGTTGTCTTGGATCCCCAGCTCCCAGAATTCAACTCATATTCTATGGTTCCCGTGATCTATTTCCCCAAGGTCCTGTTCCTTGAGCTCTAAGACAACAATTAGCTACTTTAATAAAATAATCAGTTTGGCCCACCAATGAACTCAGAATGGAAGAAAGTCCTGTAGACTTTCTTTACACTCCAGGTAAGGGATAAGATTTCTTATTTTAAATGTCCACTCACAGCTACTTTGATTGTTGAACATTAATGGGACTTCTGGAAAGATGCTTTGTTACTAGAGGGAAGACTCTTACTATAGAATGACATTGAAAACCTTATTTTCTGAAAAAAGCATTTTGAAAGCATTCCAAGTGAAACAGATCATGAACATTCTGCACAACCAAGGTAGAAGCTGTAAATAAAGATGAAGATTTCTTATGCTGGAAAATGACATTGATTAAATATAGACCAAGGGAGTTTATGTGAATATTTTGGCCAAGTTATAAGCATTTTTCTTCTCCCATAGCATAGGTCCAGCTATTAATTTTCCCTATAGTCTGACAGTTTTTGTTGCACAGTGTTAACAATACAAGATGAAAAATATGCTGCTGTGAGAGTACTACTGTGAACACAGTGGTCATCTATTTTTCAACCTTGATTTCTGGTAAGAATTTACTATTTTTTTCCTTATACATTTTCAACTAAAGGTAACAAATTCTGATTGACTTTGCTAAAAACTATAGCTCTTTAGAAGTTTGTTATAAATAATACTATGTCTTACTGCAAAAAATATTTTTTCCTTTGACCTAGTTTAGCAAAATATGCAAGTTTATTTTCCATACAATCAATACGCATAAGGTGCTGAATGCTGATATCTGCTAGGCTACACCTCTAGATATATCCTTAGCCTTTGTGATCATTATATTGATTGAAACAATTTTAGGTCAGTGAGTCACAAATGTCTCACTTTTTCTTTTGTTCCTAGACACTAAAGCAGAGTTTTGAACAATATGCACATTTTCCAAAACTCCATAAAAATATTAAATCAAATCGTATTTCTTTGTTAGGTTTGCCACAGAGTCTGTAATGTTTAGAGTATTTTATCTTGGGATGTAGATACCAAAGGGAAAGTTTGTTAGGCATGTTGGCATTTCTAACTCTTAGATTCCTTTTGTGGCTTTCAATATTTTTTTTTCTCTGCACATCTCCAAGAAAGCAATTGCTTTTGATCTGCCCGTAAGGCTTAATAAATATCTTAATTGACAACCTCTTCAACTTTACTCTTGGAGTTGTGGGTTAATGGTTTCTTCTAAAACTTATTCATAGCAAATAAAGTAAGAAGAGAAATATTGTGTGTCCATTTAATCTTCATCTATTTGTATTTCCAATGATGTAATACCTCTTGCTACAACAGAAACTCTTATAACCAGAATCACTTGAGATTGGTGAGGGCAGGAGAGGGGCTGAGTTGGAGCCGATCAAAAAGCAGAAAGGGAGAAGCCTTGGAGAACAGCAAAAATGTTTCGAGATTGTATTTCTCAGCCTGACGGAGACGTAGAACAAGACTGCCTGGGCTGAAATCCTGGCTTCTCTATGTATTATATCTATGACATTGGTCAGGTTAATTAACCTTTTAAAGTGTCTGATTCATCATGTAGAAAATGGAAAAAAATTATAGTAATAATCATCTAGGGCTGTTGTGAGGATGGAATGAATTAATACATGTAAAGTGCTTATAAACATATTTAAAACATTAGTATACACCTTACAGATGTATATTTATTATTATTATTATTGTTGAGATGAAGTCTTGCTCTTGTTGCTCAGGCTGGAGTGCAATGGCATGATCTCAGCTCACTGCAACCTCTGTCTTCTGCCTCAGCCTCCCGAGTAGCTGGGATTACAGGCACCTGCCACCATGCCCAGCTAATTTTTGTATTTTTAGTAAAGACGAGGTTTCACCATGTTGGCCAGGCTGGTCTGGAACTCCTAATCTCAGGTGATCCATCTGCCTCAGCCTCCTAAACTGTTGGGATTGCAGGTGTAAGCCACTGCACCAGGCCTATTTATTATTATTGAAGTGAATGAAATTAAACACATAATTTGTTCTAAGCTCTATGCTTTATTTAATATTTTCAACATCCCTGAGATATATTTGTTGTCCTTCTTTTGACAAATGAGAAAATAAATTTTCAGAGAGAAAAATAACCACTCTAAGGTTTCACAGTTTGAAAGAAGAAGATATGGAATTAAAAATTAAGACATATCTGATTTCACAGATGATGTATCATTTTATTTTCACCACCTCCATTTATGTTTAACATGAAAAGTCTCACTATAGCCACATGATTTTAGATGAAAAAGCAAGTGATTCTGCCAAGGAAAGATTGAAGAGATGAGCAGGATTGGTTTTGAAAAAGTTCAGCACATTTTGACTAGGTCTTGAACAGAGAAAGAGTAGAATTTTAAAAGCAAAGAATAGTAAGTACACATATACACATTCCAGATATTGCTTGTGCAGTCGTAGAAGTGTGGTGATGACTGATATTTTAAAACAACTATGAGTTTCTTTTCATGACTAGAATATGGAATGAATGAAGGTAGGATTTAGAAGTGAGACTGGGCAGGTATTTGGGGCTACACAACAAATGGTTTTAAATTTTATAGTGAGGAGTTTGATCTGTATACTCTAGACTGTGAATAAACCTCCACGTTTTTAAAATGGAAAATGAATATAATGAAATATGTATTGAAAGACATAACTCTGGTAGCAAGATAAAGGGTAATTTTGTTGTAAAAGAAAGTTAAACAAGGCGACCATCATATTCTCAAAATAGTCATGATAATGAGTTTTTTTTTTTCACTAGGATAATAAAACTAGACGGAATGGAATCCTTTAAAGAAGTGGCTTAAGAAAATCAGATTCAAATGCTGTATTTGGTATTAGAGATTAAGACAAGAGAGAATTTGTAAATGGTGGATTTTTATCTATGGTGACTGAGTAAATGGTAATTTATAACGATATAGAAAAACAGGTGGAGAAGTAGGCTTACAGGGAAGATAAGGAATTCAACTTTGAACAGGATAAGTTGGAGGTACAGCGGAATATTTAGATCAAGCAGTCATTTAGGAAGATGTCTTTGATACTTGGAAGACTGGCAAGGCCTAAAGATGTAAATTTGAGAATCCTAACTATGCAGTTGATAGTTGAATTTTAGTGAATGTTAAGATTACTTTACATAAGAAGAGAGAGGGAAGAGAAGATGGATAGCCATAAAACCCTAGGAGACACCAGTATTTTAGTAGCAAAGTGGGACAACTTGTGGGTTAAAAAGACCAAGCGTAATCAAAGGATTAGTAAAGCTCTGAAAGAGGTAAAATGGGAGATAAGGAAGAAGAAAGTTTTAAAGAGAGGATGGTCAGTTCAAGCAAATTGGACTCTGAGGTCAAGAAGGATAAGGACTGTTAAAAGGTCCTTGGACTTCACAATTTTGAGATAATAGGAGGGCTTTTTCGAGAACATTTTTAGTGCAGTGATCAGAGTGAAAGGTTAGATTACAATAAATGAAAGAGTGAAGGGAAGTGAGAAATAGAAGGTAGGAAATACTGATCATTTTTCTAAGAGAATTAGAGTGTGCCAATAATAATAGAGAATTAATTATTGGCAAAGAGAGTGAAGTGTTTTCTTTGAGAAAGCCAGTAAAGAAAACAACATGAGTAAATTTTTAGAATACTTTGAGGTAGAGAGGATGTCTGAAGTTACTTGCCCCTTATGATCTCTATTTCCCCTAACTATGAAATAAAGGGATCTGCTGCGTGAGTTTAGAAACCTGGCTTTGGAGTACCCTCCAGATTAAAGAATTGTGAAAATAAGCTACCAAATTCTTACTAGCCTGGGAAAAGGAACAAAAGACGTGGACTTACGAGTCACAGTTTGAAATCAGCAAGCAGATATATGTAGTCAAAAGGCAGAAGGAAATGAATACAAAAAAGTTAAGATAGTCTAAATGGAGAAAACAGCATTTATGACATATATATATATATGGACTAAATATATATATATTTATGACATATATTTATGGGCTAAATATATATATATTTATGACATATATTTATGACATATATATATTTATGACATATATATATATGGGCTAAATAAGACATTGAAAATAAAATATGCAGATTTTCTTCAACCTGCCTGACCTGTGGTTTTAGGCAAATCTGATTTTTATGAGCTTTAGTTTCCTCATTTGTATAATGGGCTTTTGTATAGTGCTTGGCTTTCGAGCCTCAAGAGGTTTTCAAATCCTCAGATTTACTTAAAATTTATTTAACACAGAATTACTCGAAGTGTATTCCTTCATAACAAGGAAAGGGAGATGGTGGGCCTATGATCAAATAAACTTGGGAAAGTCTAAGTAGATGTTTTTCTCTTTGGGTGTTAGAACACATGTTAGCATATCAAGTTTTAAGATGTAGTCCAGTTTTCTTTTTAAAGAAATGAATTAATTGTATTTAGCTCATTGTTAGTCAATTGTATTTAACAATAAGGTGGTTTTAATTTTTTTAAAAAAGTTTCTCTCCATAATTTTTAAAACTTGCACTGGAATGCTACAGAATACATTTTGGGAACTCCTATTTTATTATGTAAGTACTCTTTCATGTATCAGAGTCACAAAAATGGAGAAGTGAATAAAGCTACATCAGGGAATAAGCTGCATATTTTATGGCCAAAACAGTAATAGTATTTGTGTAGATTTTTCTTTTTTTGAGAGTCTCTATTATTTAATTTATAAATGTAAACTATCAAGTTATACTTAAATCCTTTTTTTGAATTGGGCTCGATAATCATTTTACACAAACATTATTTTTTCAAATTTCTCAGAGGCCATTAATTTCTCAGGTATATTAAACTGTCAGTGTAAGTATTAAGATTTTAATTCATTTTGGATAAACTCATGGAAACACAAAATTTCCCAAGATTTAATCAGGAGATTGAAACCTTTAATAGACCAATGTCAAGCTCTGAAATTGAATCAGTAACAAGATAACTTCCAATCAAAAAAAGCCCGAGACCAGGTAGATTTACAGCCAAATTCTACCAGATACATGAAGAATAACTGATAGTAATCCTACTGAAACTATTCCAAAAAATCAAGGGTGAGGGACTCCTCTGTGACTCATTCTATGAAACCAGCATCATGTTAATATCAAAATCTGGCAGAGACATGGTGAAGAAAGAAAACTTCAGGTCTATATCCCTGATAAACATAGACACAAAAATCCTCCACAAAATACTATCAAATAAACATAGCAGCACACCAAAAAGCTAATTCACCATGATCAAGTACGCTTTATTACTGAGATACAAGTTTGGTTCAGCATAACACAAATCAATATATGTGATTCACTACATAAAGAAAATTAAAAGCAAAAGCCATATGATCGTCTCAATAGATGCAGATAAAGCTGTTGATAAAATCCAACACTCCTTCATGATAAATATCCTCAACTGACTAGGCATTGAAGGAATGTACCTTAAAATAATAAGAGCCATCTATGAGAAACCCACAGCAAACATCATGTTGAACAGACAAGAGCTGGAACCATTCCCCTTGAGAACAGGAACAAGGCAAGGACGCCCACTCTCACCACTCTTATTCAACATAGTACTGGAAGTCCTAACCAGACGAATCAGGCAAGAGAAAGAAATAAAAGGCATCCAAATAGGAAAGGAAGTCAAACTTTCTTTGCTGACAATATGATTTTATACTTAGAAAACCCTAAAGATTCTGCCTAAAGGCTACAATAATTGAAACATGATTTCAGCAAGGATTCAAAATGCAAAATCAATACACAAAAATTAGTAGCATTTCTATATACCAACAATGTCCAGGTCAAGAGTCAAATCAAGAACACAATCCCCGTTACAATAGCCACAAAGAAAACAAAATACTGAGGAATACACCTAAAAAAATACATAAGAGATCTCTTTAAGAACTATAGTACACTGTTGAAGGAAATCAGAGAAAACACAAATAAATGGAAAAACATCCCATGCTCATGGATTGGAAGGATTAATATCATTAAAATAGCCATATTGCACAAAACAGTTTACAGATTTAACACTATTTCTATCAAACCACCAATGTCATTTTTTTTGCAGAATTAGAAAAAACTATTCTAAAATTCATATGGAAACAAAAAAGAACCTGAATAGCTGAAACAATTCTAGGCAAAAAGAAAAAAGCAGGAGGCATCACACTACCGACATTGAATTATACTATGAGCCTACAGTAACCAAAACAGCATGGTACTGGTACAAAAACAGACATGTAGATCAATGGCACAGAATAGAAAATTCAGAAATAAAGCCACACACTTACAACCATCTAATCTTTGACAAGGCCGATAAAAATAAGCAATGAGGAAAGGACTCCTGAGTCAATAAATGGTGCTGAGATAGCTGGCTACCCATATGCAGAATATCTTTCACCATATGTAAAAATTAACTCGAGATGGACTAAAGATTTAAATGTAAGACCTCAAATTATAAAAATCATAGAAGAAAATCTAGGAATACCTTTCTCACACCAGTGATTACCTTTCTCACACCAGTCTTGACAAATAATTTATGGCCAAGTCCCCAAAACCAATTGCAATAAAAACAAGAATTAACAAGTGAGACCTAATTAAATTCAGTAGCTTCTGCACAGCAAAAGAAACTATCAACAGGGTAAATAGACAACCTACAGAATGACAGAAAATATTCACAAACTATGCATCTGGCAAAGCTCTAATATTCAGAATCTATAAAGAACTTTAACAAATCAAACAAAATACAAACAAACAAGCAAAATACAAATAACTTCATTAAAAAGTGGGCAAAGTACATGAGCAGACATTTCTCAAAAGAAGACATACAGGTAGCCAACAAACACATAAAAAAGTGGTCATCATCACTAACCATCAGAACAATTGAAATAAAAACCGCAATGAGATGCCATCTTACATCAGTCAAAAAGGCTATTATTAAAGAGTCAAGAAAAAAACAGATGCTGGTGAGGCTGCAGAGAAAGAGGAATGCTTATACACCATTGCGGGAAATATTAATTAGTTCAGCCTCTGTGGAAAGTGGTTTGGAAATTTCCCAAAGAACTTAAAACAGAGCTACCATTTGATCCAGCAATCCTATTACTGGGTATATAGCCAAAGGAATATAAATTATTATACCAAAAAGACACATGCACACATATGTTCATCACAGTGCTACTCACAATAGCAAAAACACAGAATCAACTCAGGTGCCCATCAATGGTAGACTGGATAAGAAAAATGTGGTATATTTACACCATGAAATACTACACAGCCATTAAAGAAAATGAAATAATGTTCTTTGCAGCAACAAAGTATGGAGCTGGAGGACATAATCCTAAGCAAATTAATATAGGAATAGAAAACCAAATATCACATGTTATCACTAGTAAATGGGAATTAAATATTGAACACACATGGACACAAATATGACAACAATAGACACTGTGAACTACTAAAGGGAGAGGGAGGAAGGGGAGCTTGGGTTAAAAATCCATCTATTGGGCACTGTGCTTACTACTGGGTCCAGTATAGCCATGTAACAATCCTACACATGTGCCCTCTATATTAAAATAAAAGCTGAATAATTTAAAAAAAGATTTTAATTTATTTTATATAACTGGCTTTGATTCACTAATTTTTTTTTAAGGATCTTTTTTCTCATCTATATTCACGATATGACAGTGGTCTTTGAATACCTTTCTTGTAATGTCCTTATCAGATTTTTGGGTCAAGGTTATGCCAGTTTCATACAATGATTTGGGAATTATTTCTTTAGTATCTAGGAGAGTTTGTGTAAGCTATGTTTTTAATTTGCTATTTGTGTTTTGATTTCTAGAGATGAATACATAGATCCTTAATTTTCACTCTTTTGTGATTGTATGCATTTAAAGATATAAATTATCCTCTAAGCACAGATTTAGCTGTATCTCTCAAGCTTTAACATGTTGTATTTTTATTATCAATTAGTTCAAAATACTCTCTACTTTTCATTGTGATTTTTCATTTGACTGCTTTTTAGAAGTTGGGGATTTTCTTGTATTGCAGTTCTGTTGTGGTCAGAGATCCTTATCTGAAAGATATAAATCTTTTGAAATTTGTTCAGACTTGTTTTGTGACCCCAGCATATAGTTAATTTTGATAAATGTTTTTTTGAAAAGTTGCAGTGTCCTTCTGTGGTGTATAGTATTCCATATCCATCAATTAGGCCAGATTTGTTATTGTCATTTTTTTCTATGCTTATTGATATTTTATCAGTTTACTTACTGAGAAAAATATGTGAGTTCTTATAATAATTGAGGGTTTATATATTTCTACTTTTGGTTTTGTTTACTTTTGCCTAATACACTTTGAAGCTAAATCATTAGATTAATAAAGATTTAGAATTTTTATATTTTCCAAGCAGATTAACCACTTTATAAAAATTTTAAAATTTCTTTCTTTATCTCTCAGTGTCCACTTTGTTTGATATTAGTAAAACTATAAACATTTTTCTTTTACTTAGAGCCTTTCTTTTTACTTTTACTTTCAAACTTTATGTAGCCTTATATTTAAGATATACTTCATAAATAGCTTATATTTATTTCTTTAATATAGCCTAATTATTTTTCTTTTAGGTGAAATAGTTTATTTTATATTAATATAATTGCAGATATATTTCTGTTTAAAGTTATAAATTACTTTTCTTCCTATTAGTCTCATATGTTATCTATTATTCATTTCCCTTCTTTCTTGTCTTCTTTGAATTAACCAAATGCAAATATTTTATTATTTAATCTTTCTCCATCTATCCACAAAATTAGCCTGTTAATCATGCATTTCTTATTATTCCTTTTCTGGGTATTTTAGAGGTCACAATATACATTTTTGATTTAATGGTATTTCCTATAAATTATTATTATTACTCTAATATTACTAGGACCTTAAAACACTCTAACTTCATTTATTGCTTTACCATCTGCCATGACAATAAAAAATCACCTAACCTCTTGTTGACTTTCCATCTGCCCTTCATAGTAGGCCTGTGATTTGAATCGTGTGTGGAATTGGATAAACAGAAACATAATAAAGTCATGTAGACATTTCTACTATACACATGTTTAAACTTTTTTTACATGTGTAAACTCTTTAAGCATGCATTAATACTGCAGATATTTTACTCTTTTTCTACACTTCCAAGACTTTTTTTTTTTTTTAGTTTCAGAGGTATTTGAGAGAGGCAGAATCTTGGAGGGAAAACACAATAAGGACATTCAAAGCATAGGTCATTATTTTGCAATGCTATCATTTTTCTGTGTATGCCAGGCCCGGATACAGGATGACTAGATTATTGTTAGAGGAGGTTTAAAAAGTTTTGACTTCTCATTCACACAAGGGAGAGGTTAAAATCAAGCTACCCTAATGGATAGTCCCACAAGGAAAGTTTTAAGAGCACGTAATGATTTATATTAGGTCAAGTGACATACTATACCATAGATTTTGCTTATCATTATTCACTAAAACTTGTAAATTCATTTGAAAATAAACATTAGTTTTCTAGTTGTAAGAACACATATTCTACTAAAAATTTCTCACTCTTTATTGTAAACAGGGGAGAGAAGCATTGTAAACTGTTCTAAAAACCTTGTGTTTTTGTCTCAGTGATAGGAGAAAATGCCTAGATGATCTGGACTGAATGGACAAAGGAAGGGAAAAAAGGCAGTAGGAGTGTGGCTTTTAGATGTTGTTTTGCTGTTGTTGGTGTAGCCAGTGTGTACCATCTGCTTTCCCTTATATCACTGCAGGTTTCTTACTGATCCAGCTAATACCATGAAGCAGCCTTTTCTTTTCTCTTCTAACACGCCTGACGTTTTCTGCCTTCTGGGTGAGTCACTTGCCCAGTTTAGTCATATACACAAACTTGCTTGCCTGGGATACTGCTTGCTTTAATTTTGAGCTGTTAGACTTTATAATTTTAAGTTTTTTTCTAAATCCTTTGGATATAATACATTTGTTTAAATGTGTTAAAATTACACATTTTAATTTCTTTAGAGCACATTCTTTCTTGTGTCATAGTTAATGTAAGTAATATTATGTTGTCGTTTGGACACATCCCAGGCCTGGATCTCAAAGGATGACGGTCAAATGGAAAAGATGAAGTCAGTGAGACAAAACAGAGTGCTGAATCTCAGGAGGCACCTGTGTTTCAAATGTGTTAATGGAACTGTCCAGGTGGAAACCAGAGGTGTCATATCTGGGATTCCACCCTAGGGGCTCCATAAATTCTCTTTCCTGGGATTCTGAATTGCTTTCTGAAGTTGCATTAAAAAAATCACTTGAGTGTATTTAAAGTCCTTTCTTGAAAGATTATCTTTTTAAAAGCAAACTATTTTTATTCTTCTAGAACACATGTAAAATTATTTAAAATTATCAGTTATTTATAGAAGTACTTCTTGCTGTCCTACTTGTGCATTAGACAAAAGAAATTTAACACAGAAGCATTTATGTAGATTGGAACCCTAAAAATAAATATCTACTTTTGTCTCACATTTTACAATTTCTTTCTAATGATCAAGGCAGTTAGATCAGACAGAAAAATGATTATTGTGGATTATGAAAAGAATTATTTCTGACCCCAAGGGAGTCTTTTGATTATGCTTCCATTTTAATAAAAATCAAAGCCAAAAGCTGTTTATTGTAGTTTTGTTGTATACTACTTTTCTAGAGGGACAAAAAATGGCTTTTGTAAGTCTGAAAGTGGGTTTAAGTTGCGGAAAGTCTCAAATTTTTTTTACATTAAGAAAGGTGCAAGGCTAAAGAGCATTTTTTTATATCCACTAAAGTCTCAGTGATAACGTATTTATTTCACACAGTGGCAGGAGAGTTCTTAGATAGGTAATTGTTATAAACTTTTATTTTAGTAGGTTAGACTGGTCACTAGTTTTGCTAAAAATTATGAAATATAAACAAAGTGGGCAAAGATTGCAAGAGCTTTTTATGTTTTAGGTTCCATATATACTGAATACCCTTGTTGAAGCTGTAATATAATTGAATTCATGGTTATTAAAATATAGATTTGGTAGAAAGAGAATAATCAGAAATATCAAATAAGCAATGCTCTGAAGTGAGAGTTTTTTAAAAATATATTGTAAATGTCACAGACTTTTTCAAATTCTCCATAAAATATTCATTTATATATTATTATCAGTTCCACTTGACAAGTGAGAAAGCTCACATTTGGAAGGCATAAGTAAGTTGTCAAGTTAGTAAATAATTAAGCCTGGAATCAAATTTATGCAGTATGAGGAGTGGACTAACGTTCTTATCTGCCATACTATATGTACTTTCAAACTGCCTAATAATAAAGTACTATTATTATTTTCATTTTTTGAGGCGAGGAAACTGATATTCAGAGAGATTAAGATTTATGGATTAAAAAGCGAATAATTATTTAAAGCAGGGTTTGAATTAGTATTACCTAAATCTAGAGTTTGTTCCCATAACTATAATTTTGTCACTATCTTTTATTCATGGCTCTCTCTCTCTGTTTACTATGTAGTTATGTAGCTAAGACAATAGAAGATAGTAAAAATGGCAATTATAGTTATCTCTAATATGGCTGGCTTAATTAAAGTAATCTTTATTTTCTTCTTTATTTTTGAGCACTTAGGCATTTGTTACAAATATTTTTATTGAAAAAAAAATACTATAACTCAATGAATAGACCTAGTTGGATAGGTTGTTGAGATTGATCTAGAAAAGTAAATTATTGACCATTTTTCATAAAAGATCTATAACTCCATTAATCATAGTTAAGAGTGATCATCAAATAGCAAGCTGTTAGTCTCTCTAACAGTGACAGGACAGAGTCCTAGTCTAACTATATTGGATTCCAACAGCATAGAAATACAGTCAAATTATCAAAGAAAGACTGGCCATTCCTATAAAAGAGTTGCTGGAAGTGTGAAATGAGGAAATGGGAAAATAATGAGTTATTTGCAAAATAAGTAGTAGAGTGGAAAGACTGAAGACCTGGCAGATACGCTGGGTATTATACAAAGGATATTGAAAGATGAAAATGTATACCTTGGTTTGAATACTAATTGCTAAAAACATTATGAGACAATTAGGGAAATTTGAAGCTTGGTAGATATGTTTTAAATGACATTAAGAAGTTATTTGTATTTTCTTTAGATGTGATAATGATGTTTGACAGTGGAATAATATAATGTCTGGGATTTGCTTTAAAATAGTTCAGAGGAGAGAGCTTGGTGATAGCTTCATATACATATGGGAACATAATATTCTTTCTCTGTTTTTATGTGTTTGATAATTCTAATAAAAATGTTAAGAAAAGATAAAAATGACAAAGCCAAAGATAGTAACTTATTTAGAATTGAGGTTGTGTGATGGAGTTTTTACTTTAATGGGAAGAACTTAAATAAACTGAAGGTCTGTCCTAAATTCTTTGGGTGAAGCTTCAGTCTACACCTGACTACTTTTTAGTTGTAGCATTGTTAAAAGCATTAAATGAGATAGATGCATGTAAAACACATTAAAAAATGCCTAAATATAAAACAAATTCCAGATTTATTAGCTATTTATTTTATTCCCATAAAAATTGTTCTAAAATCAATACTTCCTAAAGCAATATTTATATATTAAAGAAATCTTAGTAGTTTGGTGGAAATTCTTATTTTATCTGTGAGCTTAATTATTTGAAAGAACTTGAATTGAACTTTTAGTATTTACTACTAAGCCACATGGGAAACAGAGAAAAATAAGACATAACACCAGTGTCCCTGCATTTATAGACTTATTTAAAAGCAGGGTTATGAGAAAAAACACACATTTCAAACAAATAAGAAAACAAAGAAACAAATAGTTTAAGTGACTCTCCTAAATTCAGCTGCTAGCTAGTGTCAGGGATGAGAGTCCAGACTTCCTAAATTCAGGTTTCCCAAATCACAGGTTCACGGTCTTCTTGTATACTGCATCTTTTATTCCAAAAACAAAAGAAAACAAAACAAAAAACAGGTTAGAATGAACAAAAACACAATGCAGGCAAACTACTTGCACAAATTTTTCTATAGATTTTCATCCAATTGAATCAGATCTGTCACTATAGATCCATTTTCTTGTTTGCCACTGATGTCTCCAGGCTAGGACAAAACTTGATCTTAGTTAGCTGTGCAATAATTTTTTTTTAAATAAATAAATTATACATCTGTACTTGGTTAGGCTTTGTGTAGATAATTTACCATTAATAAAATAAGTCATCTGTGCTCTTATAGGTCAGTTTCTAAGATAAATATAAGTACTAACAAGGTAAATAATAATAGAAGATGATGGAATAAAGGATAATAATTAGTAAATTTTTAATATTTTTTAAACAAATGAACTAACCAAATCGAAGGACAGGATTTAAAAACTGCATAGTTTGACGTCAGAATTACACACAAAATTTTAAACCATGTACATGTATGTGATCCTTCTGCTGTTTATATTATAAAAGATTTTTTATTTACGTCGTCAAAATGGGAGAAACAATTATAATGGTTATTTAAGAAACCAATGCAATGATATTTGTATATTAACTTCAAAGGTAGATGTCACAATTCTTCACAATTAATTAAATTCTTACACAAAATTTTTGAGATTTTAAACTTTAAGCTGAATGTGGTTATTGTGTTTTTGCATATAGTGGGAAATAATGGGTGTGCCTCTTTCTAAAATGGTGGTGCATCGATTTTGGTCAGAAATTATGATGCCAATAACACCTATGCATGGCTTTTAATAATTTTTAGATTTTACTACTGCATTATTCTTTTCAACTCACATCAATATTGAACCTTTCTTACACTCATGAATTTTTAATATTTTTCTCTGAGCCTGGCTTCTAATTGAGCTCCCTCTGAAGGACTATGTTGAGCCAATATGATTCTTGCTTATGTATATGCACAAAGATTTCTTAGAAAACAAGAAGCTAGAATTATGAGATTTGACATGTGCTTTATTGTGAGAAGTGGGAAACTGACAGATGTGGAGGACTTTTCTGAGGAGTCCAACTGGTCCACAGGCAAGCACAACCGTATCTGATTAGGCTGACAGCTCTGACTATCCATTTGTACATGAGCCTGGAGGTCTCAAATTGTTTTTCAGATCACTTAGCAATTAATGATGCCATTGTCCTTGGGTAGCTCATTTGCAGATCGATACTTGCTGGCAGAGTCAAAGCTTGGAAAGACATAATGACAGTCACCAAAGTGACTCTATTAATAATAAAGCCCACAAGCAATGACTGTGAAAGAAGACTGTCAGGAGACTGTTTCTTCCACAAACAAGTGCCACTTGCAGTTTTTCAGAAGACTGTCAAGAAACCTGAACTGTAATTAACATTAGTTATTTTGAAAGTTATTTGTTCCTTAACTATGATTATTAAACATATTTTTGCTTTTCTACTGAGATATTTGTTCAAATTATATTTTAAGGTTATTTAAAAAATCTTTTACTTATTCCCTCACTCCATCAAAGTACTCAATAAGATTAAAAAAATTCATATAAGCTCATTAAAGCAATTATATTTGCCACTCTACGTGGTTATAAAGGTGAACCATTCAGAATCAGGAGAACTTCCCCTGCTCCATCCCCTACAACTTTGGCCATTCATTAAAAGTGTGCTTCAGGATAGGTCTATGTTTGAAATAATTGAAGTTCTCAAATAAGTAGAAAAACGTAATGTCCTAGGCCACTAAGTAGTTTTTATCAGTGTAAAACATAATTTTAAAACATACATGGTTGAAGAGCTCCAAGTAGCCTTATTACCGGAAAAACATATTAAAACTAATAATTTTGATAAAGTATACTGGCTTTGGAAAATTTGAAAACCAAAGGAGAGAAAAGTACCTTAAGTACTAACATTATTTGATATTAATAATACTTAAAGTTATAATAATCATTGAGGAAAGGATTACTCAAAAGTTCTCTTTATGTGTAATAACTTGCTTATGCCACGTTTTAAAAGACAATTTTGTCTCAAATATTCTAGGAGGGAAAACAATATATCCTGTCCTGAGCTTTAAGTGCAAACAATGAAAATCTTCTACTTGGGTGAAAATTAAAAGGCATTTCCAGCACATTAGTTAACTGTTCCTTACTGGATAAATTGGCAATTTTACTTTTCAGATAAGAGTAGTTTTAGTTGACTACAAGAAGCCAAAAACTGTCAGTTTCATAATTAAGGAAATAACTCACACTTTATCTAAATGGATTTATATGATTTTTCATCTATTTTCTTAAACCATTCTCATAACAATTTTTATGTACTAAAATTAACATATGTTAACTTAGTCATGAAGCTTGTAAACTACAAATGTGATAATGAGGATTCAGTGCAAGGAAAAAAGACAGTATTTTCAAGCAATCTTCAATCTGACTTGTTTAGAGGAGCTAATGAATAAATTAAAACAGCTATTACGTAAGCTTAAAAAAATGGAAAATGTAATATTCCTGAAACAGAAGATTTAGAAAGGACAGATAGGATTTAAAAGTGTTGTAAGAAGAGTAAAAGTTGACAGATTGTCACTTTTACCTGTCTTTACCTGTCATTGTACTTGCTGATTTCATTTTCTCTTTTTATGAGAAAAAGCATAAAAACATAATAGGCAGACTAGGTGAAGATGAAAAGCTTTCTTCCTCAATAGTTTTGTACTGAGTTGATTTTCCTAAAGAATGTAACTTGTTATGGGTCTCTGATCCAGCCCAGTGGCTGTCAAAATGATTGATGAAGCTGGTGCATGGTAATGTTTGCGGGCTTGGGTTCCTGGGCTTTTGGGCAAGTGGATGATGCAAAGCCTTGTGAATGTGATTGGGCAAAATTCCCAGTCAATCTAAAAACTAGAATTTTGACAAAATGTATTCTAAGTAATATTTGTCAAAAAAGTAGCAGAACACATTGGCTTCTGAAATGATCTAACTGAACTGTTTTGTGGTGGAGTCCTAGCTGAATCACTTCTGTGTATTCAGTCCAAATATATCTGAAAGTCACACAGAGAGATTGCCAAAGAACAATGCTAATCCTACCATCTATCCATGTGTTAATTTATTGCAAAGCTAGATTAAATGTATGTTATTGGTAGACCTGTAGGCAATCATTAAGGCAGTTATAATTTTTCTTTTCATTCTAATTTTCTCAGCTTATTTTTCACTTTTGATATTGTATGAGCCACCCCGATGAATTTATTCTCTCAAATTTACCTGTCCACTGGTAAATTGATATGGGAAGATTAATGGGCTGTGGAGCCATATCAACATAACTCTTGCAAGTTTTGCACACTATAATACAGTTTCACTAAAACACAGTTCAGTTATATATATTACTAGTGTGAAATGATATTTAAGGATGCATAGTATTCTTTACTTGATTTATAGTATTCAAATCATCTCCTGTCATTGGACATTTAGGTTGTTTATAATGTTTTATCATTTTACAGTCACTGACATTGTAATACAATTAGGGTGAGATTCTGGTTGTTTTAATAGTATAAAATCCTATCAACAAAATTTTCAAATCAAAATAAAGGTCATTAATGTATATTGAGAAATAAATTCTAAAAATATTATAGAAATTTACCAGTAGGATCTTAAAATTTGTGCCCTTGCTTACACTGGATAGAATATTCGTTATTATTATTTTAATTTCACAAATATTAAGGAAGAAAAACATCTCATTAATTTATTGATCTGATGTTTTTTGATTAACTAAGACAATACAGATTTGTCAGTTATAATTTTGACTTTTGTAAATTCCTTTTATATGCACCATTCCTGATGTATCCAATAGGATTTTTTGAGGGTTATGTAATTTATTTAAATTTTAAATTTTTATTTTTATGGGTACATAGTAGGTGTATATATTTATGGGGTACATGAAATATTTTCACATAGACATATAATATGTAATAATCACATCAGGGTAGGTGAGTATGCATCTCCTCAAGCATTTATCATTTCTTTATGTTACAGATATTTCAATTATATTGTTTCAGTTATTTTTAAAATATACAATAAATTATTGTTAACTGTAGTCACCCTGTTGTGCCATCAAATACTAAATCGTATTTATTCTATCTGACTGTATTTTTGTACCCATAAACCATCCCCCACCAACTATCCTTCATAGCCTCTAGAAACCATCATTCTACTCTCTCTCTCCATGAGTCAATTTCATTTAATCTTTAGCTACAACAAATAAATGAGAACATGTGAAGTTTGTCTTTCTGTGCCTGGCTTACTTCACTTAACATGATGTCCTCCACTTTCATTCACATTGCTGCAAATGACAAGATCTCATTATTTTTAATGGTGGAACAGTACGCCATTGTGTATATGTACCACATCTTTATCCATTCATTTGTTGATGGACACTTAAATTGCTTCCAAATCGTGGCTATTGTGAATAATGCTGCAATAAACATGGAAGTGCAGATATCTTTTTGATATACTAATTTTTTTTGGGGGGGGGGGTATATACCTAACAGTGGGATTGCTAGGTCATATGATAGCACCATTTTTAGTTTTTTGAGGAATCTCCATACTGTTCTCCATAGTGGCTGTACTAATTTACATTCCCACAAACAGTGTATGAGGGTTCCCATTTCTCCACATCCTTGCCAGCATTCATTATTGCTCATTTTTGGATAAAAACCATTTTAAGTGGGGTGGGATAATATTGTAGTTTTGATTCGTATTACTCTGATAATCATGATGTTGAGCACCTTCTCATAAACCTGTTGGCAATTCATATGTCTTCTTTTGAGAATAAATTTTTAAATCAGATTGTTAGATGTTTTTCCTATAGAGTTGTTTGAGCTCTTTATATATTCTGGTTATTAATCCTTTGTCAGCTGGGTAGTTTGCAAATATTTTCTTCAATTTGGTGGGTTGTCTCTCTCTTTACTTTATTGATTGTTTCCTTTGTTGTGCAGAAGTTTATCAGTTTGATGTAATTCCATTTGTCCATTTTTGCTTAGGTTGCCTGTGCTTGTAGAGTATTGCTCAGGAAACCTTTATCCAGAGCAGTGTCCTAGAGAGCTTTCTCAACATTTCCTTGTAGTAGTTTCATTGTTTGAGGTCTTAGATTTAAGTCTTTAATCAACTTTGATTTGATTTTTGCATGTGGTGAGAGATAAGGGTCTAGTTTCATTCTTCTTATAGATATCCAGTTTTCCCAGCACCACTTATTGAAGAGACTGTTCTTTTCCCAGTGTATGTTCTTGACACCTTTTTTGAAAATGAGTTCCCTGTAGATATGTGAATTTGTTTCTGAGTTCTCTATTCTATTACATTGGCCTATGTATCTATTGTTATGCCAGTACCATGCTTTTTTGGTTACAATAGCTCTATAATGTAATTTCAAGTGAGGTAATTTGATTCTTCCAGTTTTGCTCTTCTTACTGAGGATGGCTTTGGCTATTCTGGGTCTTTTGCCATTCCATATACATTTTAGAATTGTATGTTCTATTTCTGTGAAGAATGTCATTGGTATTTTGATCGGGGTTTTATTGATCTGTAGATTGCTTGGAGTAGTAAAAATATTTTAACAATATTGATTCTTTTGATCCACGAATGTGGAATATTTTTCCTTTTATTGTGTGTCCTTTTCAATTTCTTGTATCAATGTTTTACAGTTTTCATTGTAACCATGTTTTGGTTAAGTTTATTCCTGGGTATCTTATTTGCTTTTTAGCTATTTTAATTAGGATTACTTTCTTCATTTCTTTTTAGGTTGTTTGCTGTTGGCATATATAAATGTTACTGACTTTTGTATGTTCTAATAGTTTTTTTGTTGGAATCTAGGTTTTTCCAAATATAAGATCATATCATCTGAAAATAAGGATAATTTGACTTCTCCTTTGCAATTTGGATGCCCTTTATTTTTGTTGTTGTTGTCTGATTGCCCCAGCTAGGACTTCCAGTACTATGTTGTATAATAACGGTGAAAACTGACATCCTTGTCTTGTTCTTAAAGGAAAGACTTTCAGTTTTTCCCCATTGAGAATTATACTAGCTGTTAGTCTGTTGTATATGGCTTTTATTGTGTTCAGTTATGTTCTTTCTACACCCAGTTTTGTGAGGGTTTTTATCATAAAGGATGTTGGAATTTATGGAATGTTTTTTCAACATCAATTAAAATGATCATATGGGTTTACCCTTCATTCTGTTGATACGATGTATCACATTCATTGATTTGCATATGCTGGTTGGACCATCTGTGGGATATATCCCATTTGATCATAAGGATAATCTTTCTAACATGTTGTTGAATTTAGTTTGCTAGTATTCCTTTGAGGACATTTTCATCAATGTTCATCAGAGCTATTGTCCTGTAATTTTCTTCTTTTCACGTGTCTTTCTCTGGCTTTAGTAATAAGGTAATACTGGCCTCATAGAGTGAGTTTGGAAATATTGTTATCTTTCTCTAGATTTTGAAAGTTCTTTGCTATTATCTATTTTAATAAACTTGCTACCCCAATCTTTCTTTCTACCTCCTTTTTACGACAAGTAACTCTTAGATTTGCCATTTTGTGGCTATTTCCTAGATTTCGTGGGCATGCTTTATTTCTTTTCATTATTTTTTCTTTTGTCTCCTCTGACTATGTATTTTCAAATGGCCTGTCCTCAGTGCTTTCTTCCACTTTATCCATTGTGCTGTTGAGAGACTCTGATGCAGTCTTGAGTTTGTCAATTCAATGTTTCAGCTCCAGAAATTCTCCTTGATATTTTTTAATTATCTCAATCTTTTTGTTAAATTTATCTGATAGAATTCTGAATTCCTTCTCTATGTTATTTTTAATTTCATTGAGCTTCCTCAAAACAGCTATTTTAAAATTCTCTGTCTGAAAAATTACATATCTCTGTCACTCTGGGATTAGTCACTGGTGCCTTATTTAGTTTGTTTAGTGAGGTCACATTTTCCTGGGTAGTCTTGATGCTTGTGAATATTTGTCAATGTTTGGGTATTTATTGTAGTCTCACAGTCTGGATTGTTTGTACTCCTTCTTGGGAAGGCTTTCTAAGTATTCAAAGGGAATTTAGTGTTGTGATCTAAGTCCTTTGTCACTGCAGCCATATCTGCATTAGTGGTTACCCCAAGTCCAGTAACATTGTGATTCTTGCAGACTTGTAGAAGCAGTGTCTTGGTGGTCTTGGGAAAGATCCAAGAAAATGCCCTGGATTACCAGGCAGAAACTTTTTTCTCCCTTATTTCCCTCAAACAAACAGAGTCTGTCTCTCTGTGTGCTGAGCTGCCTCAAGCTGGGGGAGAGGTGACTCAAGTCCCTCTGTGGCCACCATAACTTAGACTGCACTGATTGAGAACTGAAGCCAGCACAACACTGGGTCTCACCCAAGGCCTGTGATGACCACTGACTGGCTCCCATTGGTGTTCTTTCAAGGCCCAAGAGTTTTTCAGGCAGCAGGTGGTAAATAGGCTTGTGTCCCTCCCTTCAAGTTGGCAAGCTCCCCACTAGCCCGGAGCTGTTCCAGAAATGCCATATGGGAGCCAGGCCCTAGAGTCAGGAAACATAAGAATCTACTCTGTGCTCTATTCTACTGTGGCTAAGCTGGCACTAAAGACACTTGACAAAGTTCTTCTTACTCTTCCCTCTTCTTTCTTCGTGTAGAAGGCCCACAGTGAGTACTGTCTGGCTACTGCTGATGTTCACTCAAGGACCAAGGCCTCTTCAGTCAGCTTGTGGTGAATGCTGCCAGGCTTCGGTCTCTTTCTTCAGGGCAATGTTTCTCTTCTACCTCGGAGCATGTCCAGAAGTGCCATCCAGGAGCCAAGGCCTAGAACTGGGAACTCTAGGATCCTGCTTGGTTCTCTACTCCACTGTGGCTGAGCTGGTGCCCAAGCTGCAAGACAAGTCCCCTTTACTCTTCCCTCTACTTTCCTCAAGCTGAGGAAGTCTCTGTCTGTGGCCACCACAGCTGAGAATGGGCTGGGTTACACCTGAAGCCAACATGGCTCTGGGTCTCACCCAAGAACTGTGTTGAATATGGCCTAGGTACTTCTGATGTTTACTTAAGGCCCAAAGCACTCTTTAGTCAGCAGGTGATGAATCCTGCCAGGACTGGATCCCTCCCTTCAAGGCAGCCGGTTCCCTTCTGGCCCAAGATGTGTCCAGAAAAGTCCAGGAGCTAGAACCCAGAATAAGGTCTCAGGACACCACCCAGTGCCCTGTTCTACTGTAGCTTAGCTGGTATCCAGATTGCAAGGCAATGTACTTTTTAAACTTCCTTTTCCTCTCCTCAAGTAGGAGTCTCTCCCAGAACTATGAGCTGTGCTGCCTGTGGTTGTGGGAGGGGTGATGCAAGCACTCCCTTGGCCACCCCAGCTGGTGTCTCGCTAGGTTGTGTGCACCCCAAATCCACTGGTTCTGAGCCCAGCACAGCAGCAGGACTAGCCCAGGAATTGCAATTCTCGTGGCTTATACTGCCTTTTGAATTTATTTCAAACCCCGGAGCACTTTAGCCCTTTGTGGTGAGTCTAGCTAGAACTCAGGTTCCAACTGCCGGGATGGAATGATTCCCCTTTGGCTAGGGCTGATCTAAGTGCTCCCTTTCTGGGTACTGGCTGAATTCTGCCCTCTGTTGTTTTCCAGTGTGAATTCTGCCCTCTGTTGTTTTCAGTTAGCACTGAATTTCAATGCAAGGTCCCTTAATGTCTGCACTCTCCCTCTTCCAAGGACACAGATTCTCCAGATTCTCTCTGTGTCATGAGGTTGCTGAAGGGGGATGAGGGAAGGTGATCTTGTCAATTCAAGACTGTTTTTCCTACCCTTTCAGTACCTCTTTCCTTGATATGATGTTAAAACCAGGTACTGTGATCTCTCAACCAATTTTTTGTTCTTATAAAGGTGCTTTCTTGTGTAGATAGTTGTTCAGTTTGCTTCTCCTGCAGGGGGAGCGATCGCTGGAAGACTCTGGCCATCTTGCTCCACGTCCCACAAATTTAGAAAAATTAATTATAAGACTTTAATATGAAATATATTATATTTTTAAATAAATATTATATGTTTATATAATGTATGTATTATCTTTATGTGCCCTGCATACATTATATAATCTCCCTCAGTTTGTCATCTACCTTTCAATGTAATGTTTTATTTTAGATACATAGTTTTAAAAATTTCTGCAATCATATCTACTGATTTTTTCTTTTTTATGTATTTGCATTTATTTTTAGAAAAGCTTCTCTCAGATTCAACATCAGATAAATATTAAACTAAGTTATTTTCCTGGTTTTTAATGTTCCCTCTTCCCCAACCCAATCATTTAGTTCTAGATTTTGCCAAACAAAGTTTTTTCTTTCATTTGGAAAAACATCATTACAGTTAAATTGATTTTTGGACCTTACTTTCTCTAACTGATAAGAATGAAAGACTATTTACAAATATTGAAGTAACATAAAATGATCTGTCTCATTTATTTTTTCCCACTGTCTCTCACTTACCAATTTTTAACATTTAATCTGGACACTGTATTTACATCATTTTGCTTAAAACTTTTTTATATCATTTCTCTTATTCTGGTAATAGATGTAGTTACTTTGCTGGGCTTTACAATTTTCTTACCAACTGAAATTCCTTTTTATCATGCTTTTACCTGTTAATTTTGGTTTTTGTCTTGGTTTGCTGGAATATATATAGCTAAAAGCCTTTAGTTACTGGTGAAGCAGGATATTTTCCTGACCCCTTCATGGGACTCACAACAAGGTTGCCTCATTAACTCAACCCACAGCTTTCAACTCCTTGTGGGAGGGAGTGCATCAGTGAACAAGGTGGGAACTGGAGTGCATGAGTGCTGGAACCAGCTGGTTGCCTTGGCACTGGCAGGGGTGAACTCTGCTCACTTGGACCTGCTGCGTTTCATCCCTTGTGGGAGGGAGCATGCAGGTGAGAGAGTGCAGGAGCTGGGGCAAGCACTTTTGGGTGCTGGCAGGAACGAACAGCACACAGGCCCCACAGAAGCATCAAGGGGGTGTCCCCACAACCCCTGAAGCCCCAGAGGGAGTGTTACCATGCTCTTTTAGCTCTAGCATCTATGATGGCTTAAGTGTTAACAGCTCAGTGGGCTCTCTGCATTTTTGGCAAAGGGTCAATGTGACAGCCTTTTGTATCCACACTCATGGCTCCCAAGCTCTTGTTCAATGTCCAGGAGAAATGAGGTCAGACGAATAAAGTGAAGGACAGTAAATGCAGGGGATTTTATTGCTAGTGAAAGTGGCTGTCAGCAGGAAGGGGAACTGAAAAGGAAAAGGGGCAGTAAGGTAATGTTCCCCTGAAGTCCAGCCATCTCCAGCCAGATTCTTTTCTGAAGTTACATCACCAAGCTGTCTGTCTGAAGTCAAGCTGCTTCTCTCCAACATCCAGTCATAGTCTCTAATGTCCAGCTGCTTTTCCCTACTCTGCCAGCTGAACCTGGGGTTTTTATGGGCACAGGATGGGGGGCAGGGTGGACCATGCATTGTTTTGAAAAAGGCAACATTGGAGCAGGAAAACACGGATATAAGTTCTCACTTTGTGCCATGGTCTCAGGCTTTGTGGCTTGAGGGTGGGACTTCACCAGGGACCTGCCCTTTTCTGCTTAGAATTTCTCTGCCTCCTGTCCCTATCAACAGTGGTCTGTATTTCCTTGTCTGAGATTATTTTCAGTCTTTGGGATACCACCTTTTCCATAACTCAGACCACTACAGAATCATAGGTTTTAGGGTGTATTTATTTCAGTGCATTTGTTTGCTATAAATGTAGTTCACATGTATTTACTAGGTAAGGATATGTTAGAATTTATTTTTTATAGTTTGCAATAGCATTTATTATGAAATAGAAATAATATGTTTTCACCCTGTTATTTAACCAGTTTTAATTTTGATAATTAACTGAATAGGGAAGAAGTATTTTAAAATTATGGCATATTCAGTGCAAACACAACAAATGATAAGGGATTCTTGAGTGAAAACATTGTACTGGAGTACATATAACTCCTTTTTATTTTATAGTATTTTTATAAGAACTAGACAAAGCTTTCTATTTTCTTTCTATTCCCTTTTCTTGTAATCACTGACATGTTCATTATCTATGTATTTACAGATTATGTTTAAATATGCATCCACATTTCCAAATTTTTCTGATCTTTGGGCGTGCTCTCCCTCCCCAGATTTTCCATCGACATTTTCACTTATATGTTGTGTTACTTCATAATCAACATTTAAAAACTGAATTTGTGGTCTTTCTTGGCAGATGCTGTCTTCTGACTACCCTAAATCTCTTAATGTACTGCCTACAATGACTTCCAGCATATTTATGAACAGGTTTGATTTGAATGTTTTGTCTGACCAGTGCAGAGTACTTCTCTTCCCACTGATGCATACACATTCCTTCCTAGGTTATATGTAAAAACTTACATGTGAGTAGAGTGTAGTATAGCTGATTTAATTAACAGCACAACAAACTTGTATTCCTCCCTACTTTTTGCTTCTAAAACAGTGTTTCCTCTTTTGAAATAAGAGTAACTAAGTTTTTTAATATTTATATTTCCTAGTATATGTCGAGTTCAAGGGTAGGGTCCATATTTATCTGGTTTACTATTGAGCATATAATGCAGCATCTTAAAATCACAGACACTTCCTATTCTTCTAAGAATGGCTTATGACTGTTTTTAAAATGCAATATACATTATAAAGCTAAATCTCAAACTCTTCACCTTATTCATCAATATTTCAATTAAAAAGTATGGATGTTTCCAAAATTTTTGCTTTGGAATACACCAATGATATTTACATAGCATCTTGACTTTTCTATTTTTATTAAGAGAGTTGTATAGTTTAAATATATTGTTAATGAATTCTACACAGATTCATGTAATATCTTTCCTGTGCACTCTACCAGTATTTTGAGTTTGGATTTTGTCATTAGTTGCTAAGCACGTGACTGAGTTTTGGACTCTTGAAATGGGTTACATGAGCCTGGCCCCAGGTCATCAAGGAACATCAGGCTTTCTGCCACAGTTTTCATATTGGCCAACCTTCTCTGGAAATTCATGGTTCTTAGGCAGGAGGATTGGCTGATCCCAGGAATTCGAGGCTGCATTGAGCTATGATCATGCTACTGCGCTCTAGAATTAGACCCTGTCTTTTAAAAACAATCATGACTCTTTTAGAAACTTTCAACAAATACCATTTAACATTTTGGAAAAGCTGAACTTTTGTGCAAATGTGACATGAAATGTATAGAAGCACCTTATTCACTGAAGGGCAGTGCAGGTTAGTAGCTAATAAGAAATCATATGACAGTAACAAGATGGTGCAATTTTTCACCTGAGTGATTTTTCTACCAGTCTAAATAGCAAATTATATTATTCTGTTTCATACAATGTATTTTTAATTTTCCGATTTAAAAGGAACTAACTAGCTTAGAATGAAACATAATAAAGCTTGTTATTTGTAAATAAAGGTGAACGTAATTGATCACAGTTTTAAATCTTGCTGAGCTATTTGTTAATTTATATAATTTATAGATACCCTGCCTTCATAAATTTCCTTGTAGATGTTTAGCAAAGAGCAATCTGACAAAATATAGTAAAATATGTGGTTTCAACTCACTAGAACTTTAATCCTCATATGTCTGAGTGAGTTATAGGATAGCAGAAAAATGAATATACGCATTATGTCACTAAGAAAAAATGCACACACTTCAGGTTTCTGAAGACAAGTTATAATTTATGGCAAAATATAAATGTGCTTTATAATAGTTTCTACCCTTTTGCATTACATAAGATACTTCAAAATCTTGGCGTCATATCTAAATATATTATTGTAATATTAAATTTATAAAAACTTTGAAACGTAGATAATTTCACTATCTCTACTTTTTATCAAAAATCAATCACTTTTATCACCAACTAATGAATGTGGCTTAAAGTCTACAAAGTTTTGGTTGAGTTATGTAGCTGCAGAATAATAAAGGAAACACATGCTAGAACCAAAGGACACTTTTATTTGATAATAAATGTTAACTTTTCACTTACCATTAGCATAAAAATAACCTTAAAAACCCTCAGGTTTAGTATATGTCATACTCCTCAGAACTTCATAAAAACTAATCCTTACTGTGTAGAATTCCAATATTTTCTTCTAGCATGACATATAAGGAATCCAGAAAAAAAAATGAAGATATTGGTACTGGATTAACTCATTATTATTTCCATTACCCCAGCACTTTAAACACCCACAAGCCTGGGGCATTACTATGAGTATTTCTCAAATCAAATAGTATAGAATAAAACTATATATGAACTAGTTTCAAAAAATTCAAATAACACTCAAGAATATATTAAGTATAAACTGTGCTATGGAGGCTAAATGACCTATATGACCGTCATTAAATATCTGACTTTGGGTAAGTGGCAAACTGAAGTATTTAGATAAAAAGAGTTAGTGCCAATATGTATGAACTTCATTTTAAGCACAGTAGGAATGAAGGTTCAGATGAACTAAATGTTTGATTTTATTAATTTTAATCCTTACAATAATCCTATAAGATATGAAGATGGTGAGTGTCAGAAACATTAGGAAAATTGCCTACAGCCACAGAGACAGTGATTGACAGGGCTGAGTTTTACCATGGGCCTGTTGTTCGTTAAAGCTAAAGCTGTTTCCACTGTGTGAACAGATATTAGAAAGAGTTCAGAAAAGAAAACGAATGATGTGAATCTGGTAAGCAGAGCAAACCTAATGGAATAAATAGGCTTTAAGTCTCTCTATCTAAGATTTAGAATAATTAGATATGGGAAAGGAAAGGAAAAGATACTGAGCTCTCCTGATTGAGGTAATGGTGTAAGCCACAAGACAAGCACGTAAGAGCTCTCTTCTAAATAATATCTCTTTAGCTAGCTTTTTATTTTATTTCTACATTCACTATTTCTGCACCTCATCACATCATATTGGAATGTTTGCGTGAGGCTACAAACTAAATAAAATACCTTTTGATATTACTTATTTTTCTAATACAGACATCAGATTAATCCTTAGAAGAAATTCATTCATTCAGTTACTATTTTTAAAGGAAAAACTTTAGACAAATGAAATTTAGAACAGTTTATTTGAGCAAAGAATGATTCACGAATTAGGCAGCACTCAGAACTGGGAGAGGTTTAGAGAGCTCCACCCAGCAATGTGGGCAGGCTGTATTCACAGACAGAAAAAGGAATTGAGGTAAAAACCAGCTTGATTCGTTACAACTTGTCATTTGCATTATTGGCATGGTATGATGAGGCATTTGCCTTATGTGTACATTGTCTGACCAGTTTGCAGCCTATGATTGGCTGAAGCTTGGCTTCCACAATTGGCTGAGACTCAGCAGTTCGTTACAAAAATATATTCTTGTTAGGTTGCAATTTGTTTACTTAGTAAATTAGGTTGTAGTTCATGATACAGAAATTCAAAGTACAAAAGCAGCTATAGGCTGCTTTAACAAGTCACTGTTTTGGTGTCCTCTCAATTTTGAAAGATTGACCAAAACCTTGGGCATTGATTCCCTTCTCTGTCACCGTCAGAATGGACTTGTTTGGTCTCATTATGGAATTCACTATTTATGACATCAGGCTAGCTGAATGATGTTTTATGTCCCTTTTGTGTTGTCATTGTTCTAACTTTAGTGAGACCATTTGACATACAGTGGATGGCTGCATCCAGAGCATCTGAGACTCTTGAGGGACTACAGTGCACCAAGGAATCCATTATGACAGCTATAAAGAGGATAATACTAAGAAACTAAAGTATATAAACTTTACAAATTGAAACAATCAAAATCAAAATCAGATATATAAAAATCAAATATATAAAAAATGAGACAAAAGCAAAATCTCCTTGTTTTAACCAAGTAGCTTTTTTGTTGATTTCCTGAAACTGAGTTTCTGTCATACCAGATTTATTTATCTAAGTGTTGCAGGAGGTGTTAGCTATTGCACATACCCCTAGTTCAGCCAACAAATAGTGCAATACAGTCATGTTATCTAAAATAACTTTAGCAAGATAATTTAAAGAAGTTTTCTGGGCAACTGTAGAATCAACTATAGTGGCTAATGTTTGAGACAAATTTTGATTCCTAACTTTATTTACGTGTATGCCAAGTCAAGTAAGAAGCATTCTACAAAAAGATGCCAATTTGGTGGGATTTACATTTGCTGGCAAATTTCTCTTTATTCTGTGGTGCAAATTAAAAGGTGTACAATGTTCAGCTTCTAACTGGTTATAGATTGACAGTGATACTGTTAGAATCTCTAAAACACAGTGGTCCCTTATTTTTCACTGTTATAGTACCTTATTTTTCATTGTTATGCTCTCTATGTAAATATATATTTTAGAGAGGCACCACAGACAGTTCCCTGTGGGATGCCTCATGCATTAGGACTAACTAGTAGGGAAGCACTAGTAATATTTATCCTAGGCTCCATTACTGAATTATTGCATAATTGGAGGCTATCAACATTTAGGGGATTAGGGTTATAAATTTGTCTACAAAAGGTCAAAATACATTTATTTTGGTTTTTAAATTTAATTTCTGGTATAATATTACTGCAAAACCCATACTATAGGTTTTGCTTTCTGTTATATTTTAACAAGGAATCTGGATACCTAAATCTAAAAGCCTAACCCTGTAGAAAAGAATAGATACTGCAGTTGGGATATTAGTAAAATTTGTTAAAGGGTAAAGCAGACAGTTTTTAAGATCATGTAAGGATTTAGGTTTGACATAACATATCCAACATTAGGTTCCCTGCTTCTGAGGAAAAACCTCCCTGCCTAGTTTTACTTTTGAGGTCTCCAATGGCTGTGTAGTCGCAAGAGTCTGGAGGGAGAGACGTGGACCCAAGACTCAAGGCCCTGTATTATTGCTGCCATATGATTGTTAAGAACTCGGTATGCTTAGGATTGGTTTGGATGAGCCGCAGGCATAACACTGCCTAACTTCAAATTATACTATAAGGCTATAGTAACCAGAACAACATGGTACTGGTACAAAACAAACACATAGATCAATGGAACAGAATAGAAAACACAGAAATAAAGCCACATACTTACAGTCATCTGATGTTCAACATGGCTGACAAAAACAAACAGTGGGGAAAGCATTCCCTAAACAATAAATGATGCTGGGATAATGAGCTAGCCATATGCAGAAAAATAAAACTAGATATTTACCTTTCAGCACATACAAAAATTAATTCAAGATAGATTGAGGATTTAAATACAAGACCTCAAACTGTAAAAATCCTAGAAGAAAACCAAACTTAGGGAGTACCCGTCTTGACATTGGCCTTGGTGAAGAATTTTTGGCCAAGTCCCCAAAAGCAAATGCAACAAAAACAAACATTGACAAATGGGTTCTAATTAAATGAAAGAGCTTCTGCACAGCAAAAGAAATTACCAACAGGATTAACAGACAACCTACATAACAGGAGAAAATAGTCACAACTTTGCATCCAACCAAGTTCTAATATCATCCAGAATCTATAAGGAACTTAAATCAGTGAGCAAAAAACACAAATAACACCATTACAAAGTGGGCAAAAGACATGAGTAGACACTTTTCAAAAGAAGACATACAAGGAGCCAATAAACATGAAAAAAATGCTCATCATCACCAATCATCACAAAATGCAAATCAAAACCACAATAAAATACCATCTCATAGCAGTCAGAATGGCTATTACTAAAAAGGTAAAAATCAACTGATGCTGGTGAGGCTGCAGAATAAAGAGAATGCTTATACACTGTTTGTGGGAATATAAATTAGTTCAGACACTGTGGAAAGCAGTCTGGAGATTTCTCAAAGAACTTAAAGCAGCTACCACTTGACTCAGTAATCCTACTACTGGGTATATACCCAAAGGAATACAGATATGTTCATTGTCGTGATATTCACAATAGTAAATAAATGGAAGCAAATAGGTGCCCATTGATGATGAATTGGATAAAGGAAATGTGACACATATACCCTATGACATACTATACACTCATAAAAAAGAATGAAATCATGTTTTTCACAAAAACGTGGATGGAGTTGGAGACCATAATCCTAAGCAAATTAATGTAGGAACGAAAACCAAATACTGCATGTTCTCATTTACAAGCGGGAGCAAAATACTGAGCACACATGCACATAAACATAGGAACAGTAGACACTGCAGACTACTAGAAGGAGGAGGCACAGAGTGTGCATGGTTGAAAAACTACTTATTGGGTACTATGCTCACTACCTGGATCCAATATACCCATGTGACAATTCTACATTTGTACCCCTGTATCTAAAATAAAAGCTGAAATTTAAAAAGTAAAAGAACTTGATATGATTCCTTACGATGCAGTTCAATGGTGGTTTTTCTCTGGTGTCATATCCGTATGATATAATCTTCAGGTTCTAGATTGTGAAAGGTGTGGTTGTCATCAGTTGGCAGGCCATTTAAAGGCTTATTTTATGTGGTGAAAAATACACTTAGGCATAATGCATTCAAGCCTTGCAATGCTGAATCTTGTCAGAGTTTCTAAGAGCAGGAGATACACATGATTTTATTATTAGGGGTTTAGGCCTTTCAGTAATTATTTCATTAGGGGTCAATGTATGTTTTCTAGTAAGAATAGATCTAATTATCATCAGTCTGCTAATACCTTTGACAAAGACAGTACAGTTGATTCAATTAGCTTTGCTTATTGCCATTGTATTTGTAATACCTTGTCTAACTGCAGTGAAATGAATACCTCTATCACTGAAGATTTCTCCAGCAATGTCCCATAAAGGAAACACATTTTGCAAAAATCTCTTAGTTACTATCATAGAATCAGCCTTTCTTCATGGGAAAGTTTCTATACAACCAGAAAACATACACTGAAAGTAGCACTTTCATGAAATCTGTTGGTAAGTATTTAAATGGTACTTCAAGTGCTAGAAATTAATCACCTGAGTTTTTTACTGTCTTATGAAATATGAATTTGACAAATCAAATATTGGTTATAAACCATTTTCATAATGTTAGAACAATTACCAAACCAATTTTTAATTTTCAAAATATCATTAGATCTATTATATGATGAGTCATAGAGTAGATCTAATGGAATAATGGAAGCTTTAAAGACTCTGGAAGCACTTTAAAGACTCTAGAAGGCAGTTGTCTAGGGTTTTCATGAGATCATACTTAGCATTAGATTTAGATCTTCATAAACATCACCTTTGTTTCTCCAATTCAGGTATACAGCATTGTTTCTTAAATAGGTTATCATAGGTAATTTGACTTGGATCAAACTTATGAGGTTCATTCAAATTGCATATTTTAATAATTGCAATATTTTAATAATAAAGCCACACACTTACAGCCTAGCATGAAAATCTACCAAATTTAATTTAACATTCCTGATACTCAATTAATTCTGTTCTTCTTCATGTTTGGGTTAGTAGTTTTATGGAACCAATCAGTTCCTTTCTTAGAGTTCTGGAACTTCTTATCAAGTCCAAAAATATGACCAGATTTCTATGGATTTTATAATTCCTGGAATACATATTATTTTATAATTCCTGGAATACATATTAATAACATGTCCATATAAATGTAATTCAAAAAATGTTAGCATTACTTATTATTAGACAATGCTTCTTATATAATTTAATGTATCAAATAAGCCCAAATAGTTTAATATGTCTTTTTATACAAAGAAAGAGACAAATCCTTTGGAGACGTTCCAAAGACACATCCAGAAAATCCAGAAGTTAACTCAAGCTCAAGAAAAAAACTTCATTTAGAATTTTGAGTTCAGGAAGTTTGTCAAAAATATCAAGAGATTAAAATACTTGATCAAAATAGAAGCATAGGCCACTCAAATAATAGTTATTCATTTAACTAGAGGGATAACTTAAAGACTTCAAAGGCAAATACAGAAAGTTACATAGTTATTACAAAAACCTGTTTTAATAAATAGGACTCAGTTTTGTAAATGAAAGATGTAATAAACACAACATAAAGCACAGGAGTAAACAGGGTGAAACAAGAAATTTACTTCCCAGCCCGATTTCCTAAAAGGTGAACACCTTTCACAATCTCCTATTAAGAGCCAACCAATACTCCAAGAGCATTATTTGTTTTAACAGAGGATCAAATTGTTAGACAGAACAAAATTCTAGTTTTGCATCAGTGAATTTTTTAATTGATGCTAAATGTTTAGAAAAGATAATAATTCCTTTTTAATCTTAGCCAGCTTCATAACACATAACATTTGTTTCACAAGATTCATCTTCCACAAACCTACAACTTCCCTTATTTACTTAGGCTTTGTCCCAATACTTTTTCTCTTCCCATTTTGAAACAACTAGTCATTCTACTTTAGGACAATAATGACTTTTTTCCTTAACAGAACAAGTCTTCCATACCTCATTGCTTTAATTAACAAAAACTTGTCTTACTTTCCTTGCATATGAAGTTGTTACTCTTATTATTTCTAGTTTTAATTAGCATATATTAATTAGAATTTTAATTATTAGCATTTGCAAAGCAGCATTCTGTGGATTAACACCATTTTGTAATTTCTGAAAATATGTGCATCATCAAAATATGATTTATTTTTGTTTAACAGACCAAAATATACTTAGCTTCTTCATACCATATAAAAAACAAGATGTCCAAGGTAAATAAATTTAAACTTATGTTTATCAATTAATGTTTCAGTATTTTATATTATATTAAAATAATCTAGATATTTAATGAATATTTATTATTTAAATTTGCAAAACTTCAAGGTGCAAGTTACCAAAGGGATTTGGGAAACTATTTTGAAGTAGACACATTTTAACACAAAACAAAGCTAGCCATCATCAAGTTATTTCCCTGTTGGCTATTTGTATAACATGTAAATGTCATCATGAAAGCAAACACCTGAAACCATAATTTTTGTTTGTTTGTTTTATTGCTGTGCTTGATATACATGAAATAATGGACATTGCTTTTTCATTTGCACATTGTTCTTATGTTGAACTCTTAGTTCTATAAACCAAAAATAACATTCAGAGACCTCTGCAACCATCTGAATGGACTCCCTCTTGGCCAGGGCCCTGTAAAATTTAACCTGAAAGACTGGTTAAGGCCATGACAGGAAGTGGGGTTTGGACATTCCTCATTATACCCCTCCAGTATTAATGTTAACATAAACCTTAAGTCTGATAAGAAACATTTATGGTCTATTCTCTCTAAAGCCTGCTACTTGGAGGCTTCATCTGCATAATAAAACCTAGGTCTCCACAACCCCTTATCGTAACCCAGACATTCTTTTCTATGGATAATAACTCTTTCAACCAATTACCAATCAGAATATGTTTAAATCTACCTATGATCTGGAAGTCCCTGCTTCTAGTTGCCTTGCCCTTCCAGATCAACCAATGTGAATGTTACATACATTGATTGATGTGTTATGTCTCCCTAAAATGTATAAAATCAAGCCGTACCCCAATCATGTTGGGCACATGTCATCAGGACCTCCTGAGCCTGTGTCATGGGCACATCCTTAACTGTAGCCAAATAAACTTTCTAAGCTGGCTGAGTCCTGTCTAAGATATTTGAAGTTTACATTTGGGTGACGATGAAGGGACTCTGAGTGGAGGTTGCCCTGACCTGTGACAAATCTCCTATTGATTCTTGGTACCAATGGAAGTTCCCCTGACCTTTGACAAATCTCCTATTGATTCTTGGTAACAGCTTGAGCTGTCTTTATGGCTCAAACCAATAGCACAATTTTCTGAGACCTGCCCCCAATGCCAAGAGGATCCCTGATCTCCCAAAATTTGATTGAGATCTAAAGTTTATTTTGCTTTACAACCTTTTTGGAGATTTACTTGATTCCAACAATGAATGTAAGTTGGCCTGCTTCCATGATGATGGAAGGCAAGTAACTCCTTTCTGAGCTTGCTTCCAACTGGGAAGGTTTTTCCTGCTTCTAGGATGGTAGAGAACAGTCTTCAGCCTGAGACCCATTACTAGATACGTAGCTGAAATTGTGGGTTTTTTTTTTTTTTGAGTAAAGTTAAGATTAACAACCAGCTGATCTTGATTTTTCCTTATGATTTGAACGCTTAATAGTCATATTGGGTTTTTTTGCCATTGTCTGTTCCAATCTTTCTCACATCAGACTCAACTCCAATCAGTACCAACTCCACCTTACTTGGTAAAATCCTAATAAGAATTCCAGATTATGGATAACAAGACCTCTCTGAATTGGCTTAAATTCCTCAGAGCTGCAAAAGAGAAACAAAGCAAAGCAAAACAAAACCATGCACTTGGTTTCTGTGTTTGCTTCCTGTCTTTAAAAACAAAAACAAATGATCTTTCATTTACCTTTCTTTCCCCCATTTCTCCTTCCCTCGTCATCATCTTTGGTACAAGAAAAAGTCTAGAGAAGGCCTCTAATGACTTGAACCCCTAAAACTCAGAAAAAAGGTGCTGCTTATCCCTTTTTGGGTGTTCTTTTTTCTTTGTGAAGTTCCAAGAGTCATGGACAGATTCTTCATAGCTCTGCTTTCCTGTATTGCATGACCTATCCTGACCTCTTTGGCTTTTGGGGGTGCCAGATACAACCGTGAACTGTGAGAGGATTTGACTGTGGCATGTGTAATGGTGAATGTATTAATTTGTTTTCATGCTGCTGATAAAGACATATCTGAGACTGGGGAATTTACAGAACAAAGAGGTTTAATTGGACTTACAGTTCCACGTGACTGGGGAAGCCTCACAATCATGGTGGAAGGCAAGGAGGAGCAAGTCACATCTTACATGGATGGCGGCAGGCAAAGAGAGAGCTTGTGCAGGGAAATTCCAATTATTTAAAACTATCAGATCTTGTGATACTTATTCACTGTCACAAGAACAGCATGGGAAAGACCTGCCCCCATGTTTCAATTATCTCCAACTGGGTTCCTCCCATAACATGTGGGAATTATGGGAGCTAAAAGATGAGATTTGAGTTGAGACACAGAGCCAAACTATATCATTCTGCCCCTGGCCCCTCCCAAATCTCATGTCTTCACATTTCAAAACCAATCATGCCTTCCCAACTGTCCCCAGAGTCTTAACTCATTTTAGCATTAACTCAAAAGTCCACAGTCCAAAGTCTCATCTGAGACAAGGCAAGTCCCTTCCACCTATGAGCCTGTAAAATCAAAAGCAAGCTAGTTACTTCCTAGATACAATGGGGGTACAGGCATTGGGTGAATATAACCATTCCAAATGGGAGAAATTGGCCAAAGCAAAGGGGCTACAGTCCCTATGCAAGTCCAAAATGCAGCAGGGCAGTCAAATCTTAAAGCTCCAAAATGATCTCCTTTGACTCCATGTCTCATATCTAGGTCATGCTGATGCAAGAAGTGAACTCCCATGGTCTTTGGCAGATCTGCCCCTGTGGCATTGCAGGGTACAGTCTCTCTCCTGGCTGCTTTTATGGGCTGGTGTTGATTATCTATGGCTTTTCCGGGTGCATGGTGCAATCTGTCAATGGATCTACCATTCTGGGGTCTGGAGGACAGTGGCCCTCTTCTCATAGCACCACTAGGCAGTGCCCCAGTGGGGACTCTGTGTGGAGTCTCAACCCCACATTTCCCTTCTGCACTGCTCTAGCAGAGGTTTACCATGAGAGCCCTGCCCCTGCAGCAAACATCTGCCTGGACATCCGGGTGTTTCCATACATCCTCCGAAATCTAGGCAGAGGTTTCCAAACCTCAATTCTTGACTTCTGTGCACTTGCAGGCTCAACACCAGGTGGAAAGCTGCCAAGGCTTGAAGATTGCCCCATTCTGAAGCCACAGCCTGAGATTTACATCAGCCCCTTTCAGTTATGGCTGGAGTGTCTCTGACCCAGGCACCAAGTCCCTAGGCTGAACAAAGTACGGGGACCTTGGGCTCAGCCCATGAAACCACTTTTTCCTTTTAGGCTTCCAGGCCTGTGATGAGAGGGGCTGCTGTGAAGACCTCTGACATGCCTTGGAGACATTTTTCCCATTGTCTTGGGGATTAACATTCGGCTTCTCATTACATATAAAAAATTCTGCAGCCGGCTTGAATGTCTCCTTAGGAAACAAAATTTTCTTTTCTATCACATTGTCAGGCTGCAAAATTTCTGAACTTTTATACTCTGCTTCCCTCACAAAACTGAATGCCTTTAACAGCACCTAGGTCACCTCTTGAATGCTTTGCTGTTAGAAATATCTTCTACCAGCTATCCTAAATCATCTCTCTTAAGTTCAAAATTCCACAAATCTCCAGGGCAGAGGCAAAATGCTGCCAGTCTCTTTGCTAAAACATAATAGGAGTCACTTTTGCTCCAGTTCCCAACAAGTTTCTTATTTCCATCTGAGACCACATCAGCCTGGACTTCATTGTTCATATTGCTATCAGCATTTTTGTCAAAACCATTCAACAAGTCTCTAAGAAGTTCCAAACTTTCCCACATTTTCCTGTCTTCTTCTGAGCCCTCCAAACTGTTCCAACCTCTGCCTGGTACTGAGTTCCAAAGTCACTTCCACATTTTTAGGTAACTTTTCAGCAACACCCCACTTCCAGTACCAATTTACTCTTTTAGTTCATTTTCATGCTGCTGATAAAGACATACCTGAGGCTGGGCAATTTACAAAACAAAGAGGTTTAACTGGACTTACATTTCCATGTGGCTGGGGAAGCCTCACAATCATGGCAGATGGCAAAGAAGAGAAAGTCACATCTTACATGGAGGGCAGCAGGCAAAGAGAAAACTTGTGCATTTTTAAATTTAAAATTTAAAATTTAAATTTAAATTTAAAAGAAGAGAACTCCCATTTTTAAATCCATTAGATCTTGTGATACTTATTAACTATCATGAGAACAGCATGGGACAGACCCACCCCCATGATTCAGTTATCTCCCACAAGCTCCCTCCCACAACACATGGGAATTATGGGAGCTACAGGTGAGATTTGGGTGAGACACAGAGTCAAACTCTATCACAGTTTCATTCAGGTACCCCCCTCCACCATTCTCCTCGTGAGAAGGAGTGTTGGGGCATAGAGAAGACCATGATAACAAGAAAGTGTTGAACAGAGTTGGCAGAGCATATAGTCCATATAGTCAGCAGGGGTTCCATATAGAAGAGGGGTATCCATCAACTTTGAGTTTCCTATGAAAGAAGCAAAATTGACTAGAGAAAAGGGGACACTAATTCTTAGAATTTTTTCTCTGAAAATGGTCCAAGTGTCAATTAGATAGGTTCAGACATGGAGACTTTTTGGACTTGATTTGAAACTCCCACCAGAAAAATATTCTCTCTTCTCTCTGAGACCTTGGTCAATTATTTTCCTGGGAGTGAAGACTTTGAGGGCTTCTTCTAGTAAAAAAAGGAAATAAAAAATAATAGTTTATGCCAAAGGGAGGGGTCCCTCTGATGGCTGGTGTAAAAGTGAACACTCTTTTCCAATGGCTTGCTTACAATAAAGGCAGATATCTCAGAGCACAGACTGTTTTAGTTTAAGACCCACTGGATTAGGTTTAAAATATGTACAAAGACATTCTCTTGGTCCCTGCCTGACTAGTAGGTAGTCAGGCAGATATAAGCAGGGCAGGAGAGGGCTCCCACTCAAGGAATGTCAGGGGACCACCAGGTGATGGTCAGGTGGTTGTTAACTGTCTCTCTAAAATAATAATTGGTTGCAGCCAGTGCCAGGGAAAGGCAGCCTCCCAATAGATAGAAACTTCTGAAACTGGTCATCAGTAGCTTCCTGATAAGATCTCAGGAGTCGGGCGAGTGGGCTCAAGCATGCACACTAAGAGGCAAAAATGGCAGAGTTTAACTGGTATATGACCTTATGGGAACATTCAGACAGGTGAAGGAAGAATGCCTCAAAGTGAGCATGTGTATAACTCTAGTAAACACACTGCACATGCAGCCCCTCCCAGGTGCTGGCAGGCCACTGCACTTGCAGATAGCCCACCTCAAGGGAAGAATCAGGGGAGAAGTAATTCAACCCCAGAAGCATGCCAATGTATAAGAACCCAAGTCAAAGGTCAAACCATACACAATCTCTCAAGTTGTCTACTTGGCCCTTGTCCAAGTGTACTTTACTTCCTTTCGTTCCTGCTCTAAACTTTTAAATAACCTTTCACTTCTGCTCTAAAACTTGCCTTGGTCTCTCCTTTGGCTTTATGCCCCTCCATCAAATTTTTTATTCTGAGGAGGCAAGAATTGAGGTTGCTGCAGATCTATACAGATTCACCACTGCTAACACCTGTATTGATGTAGCTATAAAAATATGCATCTGTTTGCCTTTTGTAAGAAATTTTCCTACTGTGGACATTGTAACTCAAAGTTATCTTGGTATGATTTACATGTTTCTCTAGAAAAGCAGTGATTCTGGGTCTATAGATTTTATAAATGTAATCGGCTGTTGCACCAGATGGAGGAGTTCTAGACTCTTTGCATCCAGATGAGCCCATGATTCTGTCCTCTAGTAAACCCACCTATCTATTGAACCCAGTTTAGCTTATGTCTGGTCTAGTCAGACACCTGAAGCCTCCCTGCAGGACCCAATCCTGTCTCTGTCATGGCTTCCATACTCACTCTAGATCAAAAGTGCTCAAATAAACTCAGAGAGCTCAAAACACATTTGTGGAGCTTGAAGAGAAGAGAGAACTCACTCACACCCCCACGGCTGTGAGAGATCAGTGGGCACAATGGGCCCTGGTGGGTACCTTCTCTTGGTCACTGAGTGCTTTCAGGGATTGTTAGAGGTCTACTTAGGATTCCAGTCTGACAATGAACTGTTAAAAGAAAAACTTTAGACAAATTAAATTTATAAGAGTTTATTTAGCAACAATTATTTATTTATTTATTTATTTGTTTATTTATTTATTTATTTTGAGATGGAGTCTCACTCTGTTTTTCATGCTGGAGTGTAGTGGTGCGATCTCAGTCACTGCAATCTCCACCTCCCAGACTCAAGCAATTCTCCTGCCTCAGCCTCCTGAGTAGCCAGGACTACATGTGCATGCCGCCATGCCCAGCTAATTTTTTGTATTTTAGTAGAGATGAGGTTTCATCATATTGCCCAGGCTGGTTGTGAACTCCTGAGCTCAGGTAATCTGCCCGCCTTGGCCTCTCACAGTGCTGGGATTACAGGCATGAGACACTGCGCCTGATTACAGGCATGAGCCACTGAGCCTGGCCAACAATGAACAATTTATAAATCCAGCAGCAGTAAAAACCAGGAGAGGTTCAGAGGTCTCCATCCAGCAACACTGACAGGGAGGGTTTATAGACAGAAAAAGGAACTGAGGTACAGAAAGAGTTTGACTGGTTACTGCTTGGCATTTGCTTTATTTGGACATAGTGTGATGAGGCATTTACTTTATATATGTGCATTGTATTAGTCCATTTTTATGCTGCTGATAAAGATATACATGAGACTGGGTAATTTATAAAGAAAAAAGGTTTAATGGACTCACAGTTCCATGTGTCTGGGAAGGCCTCACGATCATGGTGGAAGGCAAAAGACATGTCTTCCATGAGGGCACACAAAAGAGAATGAGAGCCAAGTGAAAGGGGTTTCCCCTTATAAAACCGTCAGATCTCGTGAAACTTATTCACTACCATGAGAACAGTAAGCAGGAAACCGCCCCCATGATTCAATTATCTCCCATTGGGTCCCTCCCACAACATGAGAGAACTATGGGAGCTACAATTCAAGATGAGATTTGGGTGGGGACACAGCCAAACCATATCATTCTTCCCTGGCCCCTCCCAAATCTCATGTCCTCAAATTTCCAAACCAAATATGCCTTCCCAACAGTCCCCCAAAGTCTTAACTCATTTCAGCATTAAGTCAAAAGTCCACAGCCCAAAATCTCATCCAAGACAAGGCAAGTCCTTTTTGCTTATGAGCCTATAAAATCAAAAGCATGTTAGTTATTTCCTAGATACAATGGGGGTACAGACACTGGGCAAATACAGCCATTCCAAATAGGATAAATTGGCCAAAACAAAGGGGCTATAGGCCCTGTGCAAGTAGGAAATCCAGCAGGGCAGTCATATCGTAAAGCTCCAAAATGGTCTCCTTTGACTGCACGTCATCTTGCATCCAGGTCATGCTGATGCGAGACGTGGGTTCCCATGGTCTTGGGCAGCTTCACCACTGTGGTTTTGCATGGTACAGCCTCCCTCCCAGCTGCTTTCACAGTCTGCCATTAAGTGTCTGTGGCTTTTCCATGCACATGGTGCAAGCTGTTGGTGTACCATTCTGGGGTCTGGAGGACAGTGGTCCTCTTCTCACAGCTCCACTAGGGAGTGCCCCAGTGGAGACTCTGTGTAGGGGCACCCACCCCACATTACCTTCCACACTGCCCTAGCAGAAGTTCTCCAAGAGGGCCCTGCTCCTGCAGTAAACTTCTGACCGGACATCCAGGCATTTCCATACATCCTCTGAAATCTAGGTGGATTTTCTCAATCCTGGATTCTTGACTTCTATGCACCCACAGGCTCAACATCATGTGGAAGCTGTCAAAGCCTGGGGTTTGCAGTCTCTGAATCCATGACCTGAGGTGTACCTTGGCCCCTTTTAGTCATGGCTGGAGTGGCTGGGACACAGGGCACCAAGTTCCTAGACTACACACAACAGGACCAGGTTGCCTGGTCCTGGCCCATGTAACCATTTTTTCCACCTAGGCCTCCAGGCGTCTGATGGGAAGGCCTGCCTCAAAGGTCTCTGATATGACCTGGAGACATTTTCCTCATTGTCTTGGCAATTAACATTCGGCTCCTTGTTTTTTATGCAAATTTCTGCAGCCGGCTTGAATTTCTTCTCAGAAAATGGGTTTTTCTTTTCTATGGCATCATCAGGCTACAAATTTTCTGAACTTTTATTCTGTTTCCCTTTTAACACTGAATGTTTTTAACAGTACCCAAGTCACATCTTGAATGCTTTGCTGCTTATAAATTTCTTCTTCTAGATAGCCTAAATCATTTCTCTCAAGTTCAAAGTTCCACAGATCTCTAGGGCAGGGGCAAGATCCTGCAAGTCTCTTTGCTAAAACATAGCAAGAGTCACTTTTACTCCAGTTCCCAACAAGTTCCTCATCTCCATTTTAGCCTGAATTTCATTGTCCATATCATTATCCGCATTTTTGTCAAAGCCATTCAACAAGTGTCTAGGAAGTTCCAAACTTTCTCACATATTCCTATCTTCTTCTGAGCCCTCCAAACTGTTCAAACCTCTGCTTGTTACTCAGTTCCAATGTTGCTTCCACATTTTTGGGTATCTTTACAGCCTCACCCCACTCCACTGGTACCAATTTACTGTATTAGTTAGTGTTCATGCTACTGATAAAGACATACCTGACATTGGGTAATTTATACAGAAAAAGATATTTAATACACTCACAGCTCCATGTGTCTGGGGAGGCCTCACAATCGTGGTGGAAGGCAAAAGGCAAGTATTACATGGTGGCAGACAATGGGGAATGAGGACCAAGTGAAAGGGCTTTCCCCTTATAAAACCATCAGATCTCGTGAGCCTTATTCACTACCACGAGAGCAGTATGGGGGAAACTGCCCCCATGATCCAATTATCTCCCACTGGGTACCTACCACAACACAAAGGCATTATGGGAGCTACAATTCAAGATGAGATTTGGGTGGGGTCACAGCCAAATTGTATCAGACATGACCTGGTCAGTTGGCTGCCTGTAATTGGCTGAAACTCAGCTATTTGTTACAAGGGTATACTTGTTAAATTGCAGTTTAGGAATGTATGAATACAGGGATTTGGAATTCAGAGGCAGCTTTTGGCCAAACTTAAATTAATTTAGCATAATATTAGGCTGGTGCAAAAGCAATTGCAGTTTTTGGTATTACTTTTAATAGCAAAAACTGCAATTGCTTTTGTACCGACCTAATACATTTATTGAATTTATTGAATGCCTACTCACTATATGCCAGAAACTATGGTAGTTGCTGGAGATTTTTTAGTAAGTAAAAATATAACGCCCCCTTTATTGGATGTCAGAATCACCATTGAGGAAATCGTTTGACAGTGTCTTTAAAAGTGTGCTAGATGAGAGGTGGGAGAGCTCAAGTTTTGGTTCTGAGTTTGCACCTTCCTAAAACTGGAGGTTACAAACCACAGTTTGTGGAGTAGGTTGGGCCTTGATATCTTAGGCAAATGTATGCATTAGTTTTCCAAATTAAGAAGCCAAGTCGGTGAATCAGATGTGATAAATATTTCATATATGATGTAGAACAATCTTTTTCTTTATAAACAGTATAATAATGTTGATTTTCCTTTGGTCCTGTGTTCTTTGACATGTCTTCAAGAATGTTAAGATAGAACAAAATTCCATTTTGTGGGAGACTATCCACACAGTCACAATGTGGGCTGGACTTATCTAATGATCTGGAGCTCTGAGGTATGCAAACTATTTATTTAGATATCTAATTTGCATTTTAAGAGAAAAAATGAATTTTCTTTAACGCCCTTAGAAGCATGGTTTCAGAAGACTTATTTTAGTGCAGTTTAATTTTAAACTCCTTTTTCTCATAAATTTTGGGAAACAGATTAATTAGACATTTTAAACTCCTTTAAAGGTTTTAATACAGACACGTTTGCTCTGCATTTGAAGAAATTGGTCTATATGCAGAAAATGGCATTGATGAGGAATAACTCTGGAAATTTAAGATACAGAGTTGATCCTTGAACCACACAGATTGGAAGTGCAGAGATCCACTTGCATGGAGTTTTGTTTTGTTTTCAATAAACACAGTTGATTGTCCATATTGGCAGGTTCTACATCAACAACCAAAGCAGATCCAAAATACAGTATTCATGGAATTTGAAACCCTCCTCAACGGAATGTTGATTTTTGTATTTGTAGCTTCTGAAAGGTTGACTATGAGACTTGAATATATGTGGATTTTGGTATCTGCCAGCAGTTCTGGAACAAATCCCCTGCAGATACTGAGGGACAACTGCAGTTATTTATTTCCTAACAAACTTGTTTTCCAAGTAACAATATCATGAATGTATTTGCTTTGGAAATTTTAATTTGTGACACACTGACACCATCTGGCTCAATAAGACAAAAAGTCCTAGGAAAGAAGAACTTACCAATGTTATTCTTGAATGACTTTAAATAAAGTGAGAACATAGTCTTAAGTGACAAGAGTTGACAAAATAATGTTAGAGAAATGAAGCCTTTAAGGTAACATTGCAGGGCTATACAAACAGAAGGATCTATGTAGATCTAAAATTTAATACATAGAAAAAGTTATATCTTATGTGAGTGGTGCTTATTGGGGAGTTAGAATTGCAATGAAAGACTCTCAAAGGGAAAAAAATACCCTTTAAATAGCAAAATATAAACAAAGAAGATACTTTAATATTATTTCCAGAAGCACAGTTGACATTTACATCTGATGAGTTCAAAAAGATTTATATACCTCAGTATTTAATTTCACAGATAATTATATAAATACCATCTTAGATAAGCATATTAAAAGTCTTTATATTGTTTAATTATTTCTGAGTTTTATTTTTAACTTTCTTAAATTATAGTTAAATGCTAACATATTTCTACATATTAATATATACTCATTTTTTCCTCAGTTACCATGTTAAAAGTAAAATATGACCTCAGTTCTTTAATACCAACTTTTCTTATCACTCGGCCTTGGCAAGTATTTTGTTTTTACTTTCCTGATTTTTCATATAAACAATAAATGTGACCCACCATAGTGTTTAATAACAGCCTTAAATTGTATGGAAAAAATTAAAAGAATAAATTAGATTATAAATACTTATTTTCAGTCTTAAAAATTGATATCAAACTAAGTACTTAAGGTATAGTTTGCTGCAATTGTATATTTATTGTTGTATTAAAGAACAGAAATAATAAGGTACTGGTCAGAATTCTTTTGGTTGTTAAAAATGGTAAAAAATTCATAACTCTAACTAGTCAAAAGTACACACTTTTTGTAGGTATTGCCTACAGCAGCTGAGGTGCAAAAGTGCCCCTCAGGTAAAGGGATGTAAGTGGACATCAACAGTATTAATCATATATAAATATGTAAAAAGTATAAGAATAGTACATGATGCCTTGTGTGATAGACTATATCATACTGGACCTTAGTGTATTCATGCTTCTTTGTATCCACATCCTTTGGTAGTCTTCTCCCACATTGACTGGGCATGGCCATGGGACTTGTTAAATGGGACCATAGCAAAAGTGACCTAAACAAAAGTGAAAAAATTCTTACCCCTCAGGAATTGTTCTTTATTCCTAGGAATACTTCTATGATTATGTGAAGAAGCCTGGGCTAGCCTGCTGAAGGATGAAGGACCATGTAGAAAGCAGCCTCAGCTATTCCAGTTGAGTCACCAGACGTGTGAATGAGATGATCCTATACATCAGCCTCAGCTTAGTTGCCTTTGCCAGAATTTCTCAACCAAACCTAAGTATTATGAAAAGTAATAATTATTTGTTAAATTTGGCCAATACATAGTACATCTTGGGGTGGATTGTTACCAGTTAGCCAACACTAAGTGGTATACCATGTCATGCTATACTTATTTCTTTTCCTTAGGAAATTGACAAAGTGTTTTACTGATGTTAACTTGGAATGCATTTAAAGACAAAAAAAGGAAAACCTTAATCCAACATTGACATTTCATTCCTGCATCTTTAATGGTTTGATCAGAATAATCAGTGACTCATAATTATAATGGATGCATAAGTGGGCACATTTTGATATTAAAAAAGTGAGGTAATATACACATTACTAAATATGATAATGCTAGTGATTTTCCTACTCAACTTATGTTTAAGGACATGTCACCAATAGTGGTATTCAACTTCATTTGAAATTCAAAACATTAAAGTTAATTTTTAAACATTTTTATTGAGTTGAAGCTAGAGAGTTGAAGAAAAAATAAGAAAATTAAGATTTCACTTCATATACATGTAATGGATGTATTTTGTGGTAATGCAGTTTTAGTGTTTAGACCACTATGAAACTAGTAAGATAGTGGTTTTAAGTGTTGATCTAGTTATTTTGAACCTATAGCTTTGAAAATGCATGAAGCTCATTTTAACATAAAATATATGGTTTTAAGATGAATTCTTCCTCATATTGCATTCTTTCCTCCCTCTACCAGTTTCCTCTCTATAGGTATTTGTATATATATTGACTCTTAGACAAATTGAGTAGATATTATATCTGAGTCAACAAATGTGTATATAGACACATGAACACTAAGAAAGGGCATTAACATTTCTAAAATACGTCAGATGTACTGACATAATAAAATTCAAATTTCCATGTGACTTAAGAAAAATTTTATTTTTATTTTAAAAATGTGGAAATAGATTTCCAAATGAATTAGCTAACCTGTTGGTCACATAATAATTTAGTGGGAAAACCAGGTCTCGAATCAGGTATTCTTATTGTTCAAGTCAATTTATTCCCAGAGAAGTCATGCTCACAGGTTTATTTTCTATCCCCCTTTGTTTCTCAAGTGTTACACAATATGGGTATTGATTCATAATCCTTTACATTTTAATAAATATTTAACGAGTACACATATTTATACTAAATCTATGCAATACATCAAACACACAAAGTGCTGATTTAAAACAAGAAAACTCACATTCTGTTAAACAAACTAAATATTTTTGCTCCCAGGTGTATGGTCTAGTCATCCTACTTTTTATTCTGTAAGAATACATCCACATGAAACATTTGCATAGGTTCTTGTATGATTTTAATTTTCAACTCAAATAATTTAACTGAAACACTTATTCCCTAGAAAGATTAAAAGATGTAGAGAATGACAAAAAATGTCATATCTTGGAGTCATTTCTAGTACATTTTTAAAGATAGGAAGAAAAAATTAAAAGTAGACATGTAAAAAACAGAACATGTTGGTAGCCTTAGGAAAGAAATGATCGCAACATAAACTAAAATGAAACTCCTATCTGGGAGAAAAGTAATTTAGCTTCATGAACAGCTGCTTCTCAGAGGGTCAGGCATATGAGCAATTAAAATTAAACAAGTTGATTTTAATATGCCTTAGTAACTGTGATTGATATTACAGAGCCGTTGTTGACTATACATCAAGAAACAATTTAGGATCCAGTTTAAAATAAAGTTTATAATCCTTGTTTAATGGATTTTGGTACCTCAGGCAATACAGTGCTGTAAAAATGATTAAAATGTGCCCTGTCTCTGTGTAATCAATAAAACCTCTCTAAAATTAGTTAGGATCCAAAGACTCCTCAGCAGCCTTGGCAGTGCTGCGTCTGTAGAATTCCAAATAAGCCATCTATCATTATTTCCATATACAAGGTTCATTAGACACCTCATTCTTTATCTTATTAGCACCAAAGTCAGCTAAACAATCAAATCAAAAGGTCACCTTTAACAACACTGAATTAAGCCACAAGATACATCAAGACATTATTAATACAATGCACCAAAATGCAGTGGTAAGAATATCTAGAAAGCCAGTGAAGGGTTATCATAAAATAACTGAAATTATGCACATTTGTAACTTAGAGATACATTTATTCTATTATGGAAATTTGGAAACAGGCAGAAACTTATCAGTTGCCTTATTTAAAGACATTTTCTTTGTAAATTCTGAAATTAAATTTCTATTGTTTATAAAAGGATGGATAAAATCAATAACTAGAGTTATTTTTAATTCTTTTAGGATCATGAATCATATATAAGCACATATGTTTTCTGAAATTATTTACTTTTTGAAATTAATTTTTGTCACTAACATTTTATAACAGGGCTTGCACTTTATTTAAAGCGGTCAATGCTCTCAAAGGCATTTTCAAAGGCATTTTATGATTTATATAGCAAAAGAAATGTGAAGTTTAGCTTTTATATACATTAAAGTTCTAGCCACCTAGTAGTGAATTTTAGTGAAACTGCCTTTAAGTGAAACTTAGAAGTGCATATATGTTCTGCAAATGTGCTAAACTTCTCACCTAGTATTAAGTTTATCATATAAATAAAATTATATCTCAATTAACAATACCTTGTTATACATTCATTACTCATAACTTAGTTTTTTTAAAATTTAATATTATTCTAATTATATATACTCAGATAGACTTAGTGGTCAATAGCAATTAATGCCTACATCCATAGTAAGGTTGTATGTTACATGCTTACTTCAATCTGATGTTCTTTAATTCTCTTATCACAGTGCATACTAAATTAATAAAAACATATTTCTATTTCTCTTGGATCAACTTGGGGCCCCTAAGAAAGTGTTTTAATCATAGTTGAGGATGACCAAAAATCTCTCTTTGAATATAACACTTCCACTTAATACTTTGTCACTGACATGTGTATGATGATGAATATGATTATTCATGATGTGACAGTTTTCCATGAAGCTTACAGCTTTTGTAACTCTCCCCAAGTCAGCACTGTAGCGTTACTGCCATCATTATGTTTATTTCCCCTTGGTACTTACAGATCGAAATGTTTCCCTCCAGCCTTCTCCAAATGCCCCATTCCCACTGCCACTGGAATATATCACTTAAGAAACGTAAATCATAATAATGTAAAAAAGAGTTTGTTTTTCATTTTCTTACCACACAGGACAGCATATTGAAAAAGGTAGGAGACAAAATGTAACTTTCTATGCTGATATAAAGAATGGTTAGGAAAGATATCAAAGGAGAAGAGAGGGAGAAGAAATTTAAAGAAAAGATATTGACTGTCAAAGCACGGAAGTGTTTAAAAGAAGGACGAGAGGCTTCACATTCTTTTATTTTTCTTCAACTATTATTTTGGATATGGGGGTACATGTGCTGATTTGTTACACGTGTGTATTGTGTGATGCTGAGGTTTGGGGTATGGATCCCATGTGGGGTATTTTTCACCCCACACACCCCCTACCTCCCTCCTGTGTGTAGTAGTCCCCAGTGTCTATTGTTCCCATCTTTATGTCCATGTATACTCAATGTTTAGCTCCCATTTGTAAGTGAGAACATGCAGTATTTGGTTTGCTGTTCCTGCATTAATTCACTTAGAATAATGGCCTCCAGCTGCAATGAGACACCATCTCACACCAGTCAGAATGGCTATTATTATAAAGTCAAAAAAACAATAGATGCTGGCAAGGCTGCAGAGAAATGGGAATGCTCATACGCAGTTGGTGGGAATGTAAATTAGTTCAGCCATTGTGGAAAGCAGTTTGGAGATTTCTGAAAGAACTTAAAACAGAACTACCATTCAATCCAGCAATCCCATTACTGGGTATATACCTAAAGGAAAATAAATTGTTCTATCAAAAAGACACAGGCATTCATACGTTCATTGTCTGTTCATTGCTGCACTATTCACAATAGCAAAGACAAGAAATCAACCTAGGCACTCATCAATGGTGGATCGCACAAAGAAAATGTGGTACTTATATACCATGGAATACTATGAAGCCATAAAAGGAGTGAAATAATGAAATCGTTCTTTGCCGCAACTTTATTAAACTTGATTTAGATCATTTTGGAGAATCAAAGCATGAAAAGCATTATCACTATCAATAAGCCACAATTCATAATAATCTAAATCAGTTAAAAATATAAAAAGGCAGAGCTATAGGACTTTCAGTTTTTGTTGTTATTTGTTTTGTTTTTCTTTATAGGATTTAAGACTTGCTTTAAGGAAGATACTTTGTGCTCTTTGACTGACATGTTCCTCTTTCCTGAGATCCATTGTATAGCATGATGACTCTAGTTAATAATTATTGCATACTTGAAAATTGCTAACAAAGTAGATCTTACATGTTCTCACCACATACAAAAATATGAATATGCTAATTAACTTGATTTAATGATTTCACAATGTATTCTTATGTCCAAACATCACATAGTACACTGTAGATATACACAATTTTTCTTTGTCAAATATTCCTTAATAAATCTGGAATAAATAAATAAAATTAGAGTAAAATATTAAGAGTTTATTATACATTGAGATTATAATATTATGGTACTGGGTCTAATAATTCAAATTACTAGAAAGGGTTGGAACATTTCTCATTAAGTACTTTAGTTGTTTGAGTAAAGTTAAATGAGCTAAAGACTTTTTAGACAGTATTAATCTTTATGATAAAAAAATCACGACTGTGATAACACAAAAGTTCATTATATTTTCTTGAGGTAAATGACTGGTATTATTGATAATAAACCTAGGAAATAACTGCATATCACAGAGAACAGTGCTGGACTTATTTCAGCTGCTTGTATTGGTTGCTTTTTTAATGGACACATTTCCTGTACTGGGTCTAAGGCCTACAACTTCCTCTACTCTCACCTTAGAACAACTCCAGTGGTGTAGAAATATTTGATCCCAAAACCATGTCATTCGGTCAGCTCCTTCTGTGAATGTTTTAGGATCAAAATAATGCCATATTTCTACCATATTTGGGCAAGCCAGTCTCTTTTCTGTGATTGCTTTTTGGACTTCCAGTTGCATATGTTTAACTGAATATATTTTGATAAAAGACCAACCTTTGTTTTTTGTTCATTTGTTTGCTTGTTTTGAGATAGAGTCTTGCTGTGTCACCTAGGCTTCAGTGCAGTGGTGTGATCTTGGCTCACTGCAACCTCCACCTCCTGGGCTCAAGCAATCCTCCTGCTTCAGACTCTTCAGTAGCTGGGATTACAGGTGCACGCCACCATGCCCAGCTAATTTTTGTATGTTAGTAGAGATGGGGTTTCGTCATGTTGGCCAGGCTGTTCTTCAACTCCTGACCTCAGGTAATCTGCCCGCCTTGGTCTCCCAATGTGCTGGGATTACAGACATGAACCACTGTGCCCTGCTGATTAACCTATTTTGAATGTTAGCCTTGTGAATTGTAGTTTAAGGGTAACATATGAATATCTCCTTCTTGGTGCATGAAATAAAAAATATATATATATTTCAAAATTTCGGGACAATTCTCTCTTAAATAATAAGATTCAAGGATTTTCCTTTTTCCCAATCTCCAAATTCTAATTATTACGATTTATTCTTACAAAAATAAACGAAAGTCATAGATTTTGCTTATTTTGTAGGTCCGGTGGAGTTGACAGATGATTTTCCACAAAGTAATGGGTAGAGCACTTACATTTTCTCTTCCATCAAGATAATAAAATTTAGTAAGTCTCATTAATTATTCGTGCTTTTTAAACCCAATGCTTTTTACCAAAGTACTGAGATGATTATTATTATATTTAAGATAATTACAGAGCGGAATGTGTTTTAATGCTTGGGCAATTAATAGCACATTTTCAGGGTCAGCAAATGTTGCCAAGATGCATGCATTCATCCCTGCACTCTGTGGAGTAATACCTAGTGGTCTCTGGAGATTCTTATGAGTGAAAAGATGGTAGAACCTAATTTTTCAAATGAGTGGTTCTCTACCATTTTGGATTGAGAACAATTAAAACCCGATTAGGTATTAATATATTCATCTTTCTTTGTTTTCTTTTTTTAAATATGGAGTCTTGCTCTGTCACCCAGGCTGGAGTGCAGTGGCTCTATCTTGGCTCACTGCTACCTCCACCTTGGGTTCAAGCAATTCTGGTTTCTCAGCCTCCCAAGTAGCTAGGAGTACAGTTGCGTACAACCGCACCTGGCTAATTTTTTGTATTTTTAATAGAGATGGAGTTTCACCGTGTTGGTCAGGCTGGTCTTGAACTCCTGACCTCAGGTGATCCACCCAGCTCGGCCTCCCAAAGTGCTGGGATTATAGGCATGAGCCCTTGGCCCATCCTGCATCTTTCAATTTTTTTGTTTTTGAAACCTTAAGGAAGGAAGAGTGGGTAGCTAAACAGCTATGATTCCTTTTCTTGAAACTGCAGGTCTAATCTTACGTAAACAGAAGGAAGTTTTCATAGTGAATAAAACTATTTTACATAATTTGTTTAACTTTCTAGGTTTTAAAATTTTTAGCATGAAATAATCAACAACACTCAATGAAACAAGAATATTATGAAAGTACAGATTCCAGAATAATCAGACTTTGCTACACTTGATTCATTTATTCAGTTGTTTGCTTTCTTGGGTGATGTTGTTGTTAAGGTATTTTTAAAGGTCTTTAGTTTATGTAATTATTTATATGGGAAACTACTTCGTATCAGTTTATGGAGACATTTGTCATTCTTCTACATGGCTGCATAGTACTCTGTCATACAGATGTACCATAATTCATTATCTTCTATGGTCGGGCAATTTGCTTGTTTCCAATACTTTGCTGTCAATAATTGAATTTGTGTACTTAAAGTATTGTATTTCTAGCCATGTGATTGCCTCTTCATCTGTAACAAATTATCTTAACTAGTGCATTAGAACGAAAATGGTTACTACCTCTTCTTTTTGTTGCTCAGGATTTCAGGTGTGGCTTACCTCAGTAGTTCTAGCTGAGACTCTCTCAGGTGTTTTCAGCCAGATATTGGCCAGGATACAAGTACCTGAAGTATTGACTGGAATGGTGGGTCCACCTCCCTAGCGGCTCCCTCACACAGCTGTCTAGCTGGTGTTGGCTCTTGGCTAAGGCCTCAGTTCCTTGCTGTGATACCTTCTCTATAGTGCTGCTTGCGTGTCCTCATGGCTTGTGGACTGACGAAGGTTGACTGGGGTGTGGTAAGAAGAAAAGTGGAGAAAATATACTTATCTTTTCTGTATCTTAACTCACCTATTGCCATGTTATTCTTTAATTCAAAAACATGCGTAAGATACTATGAACCTATGCCAGATGGCGGAAATAGCAAAATAAATGACACAGCTCTTGCCTTTAAGTGCTTTCCAGTGTAGTAAGATAGGATGGCATATAAGCAAATAAACATAAAGCAGAATCCTTAAAATACATCTTTATAAATTTATTAAGTATATTTGGTTTTGTAAAATTAACTATTACTGAAGTATATAGTGGTAGTTCCTATTTTTTAAAAGTAAATCCCAAAAACTATGAAGTTAGCATAAAAATTTTAGTTTTTCTACAGATATTTTAAAATTGTTTCAAATACATTTATACTTTTGGTGTAGAATTTTAGAATCCGTACACATGTTTAGAATCGGAAGTCTCCAGCCCATTAAGGATGTTTATTCATCTCCATAAAAACCAGGGATATCTTCAGCCACAATTTCTAAACATAATGGGAAAAAATCTATAATATTTTATCGTTGTTCTTTTGTGTTTTCTTGTAATTAAAATACTTTTTATTAAGCTATAACATGCATACAGAAAGGTGTACTTACTGTGTGTAGTTCAAGAAATTTTCCCAAATGAAATAATCCATCTGACCAACACATCAAGAAACAGAACATTATCAACAATCAATATCCCCCTTTCACCCTCTTTTGATCATTTCCCCTTCCCAAGAGTAATGATTACTGTGAGTTGTGTTTGTTATAAACTAGTTTTACTTGTTTTTGATTCTGTTTAAAAGTTTTTTAAAATTTTTTGTTTATTATTTATGTGCCAGACAATGTTTCAAGTGCATTTATGTATTGTTTTATTTACTTCTCCTTTTTTTTCCTTGAAATTTTATTTTGGGTACATTTCCAGGATGTGCAGGTTTGTTACATAGGTAAACATGTGCCATAGTGGTTTGTCACAGATCATCCCATCACCTAGGTATTAAGCCTAGCATCCATTAGTTATTCTTCCTGATGCCCTCCCACCCCACCACCCCACCCTGTGTCCATGTGTCCTCGTCATTCAACTCCAACTTATAAGTGGAAACATGTGTTTCCTGTTCCTGTGTTAGTTTGCTGAGGAAAATGGGTTCCAACTCCATCCATGTCCCTGCAAAGGACATGATCTCATTCTTTTTTTGACTGCATAGCATTTCATGCTATATATATATATACACACACACCATGGTGTGTGTGTATATATATATAATATACCATGGTGTATATATATAATATATATAAAAAATATATATTTATATAAAAATATAAATTATATATAAATAAAATATACCATTTATTATATATACATAAATAAAATATACCATGGTATATATATTTTATATATGGTATATATATTTTATATATGGTATATATATTTTATATATGGTATATATATTTTATATATATGGTATATATATTATATATAGGGTATATATATATATTTTGTATATATGGTGTATATATAGATTTTATATATATGGTGTATATAGATTTTATATATATGGTGTATATAGATTATATATATGGTGTATATATTTTATATATATGGTGTATATATATTTTATAGGTATATGGTGTATATATATTTTATAGATATATGGTGTATATATATTTTATAGATATATGGTGTATATATATTTTATAGATATATGGTTTATATATATTTTATAGATATATGGAGTGTATATATATTTTATACCATGGTATAAAATATACCATGGTATATTTTATTTATATATATAATTTATATTTTATATAAATAATTTATATAAATTATTTATATTTAATAAATAATTTATATAAATTATTTATATTTAATAAATAATTTATATAAATTATTTATATTTAATAAATAATTTATATAAATTATTTATATTTAATAAATAATTTATATAAATTATATAAAAATATTTATATAAATAAATATTTTTATTTATATAAATATTTATTTATATAAAAATTTTAATATTTATATAAAATATTTATATAAATAATTTATTAAATAATTTATATAAATAATTTATATAAATATATAAAAATAATTTATATTTTTATATAAATAATTTATATAAATATATAAAAATAATTTATATATTTATATAAATATATATTTATATAAAAATATATATTTATTTATATATATTTTTTGACTGCATAGCATTTCATGGTATATATATGTAAATATAATATATATATACCATGTGATATATATATGTGTGTTTGTGTGTGTGTGTATATATATATATATCACATTTTATTTATCCAGTCTGTCATTGATGGGCATTTAGGTTGATTTCATGTCTTTGCTACTGTGAATATTGCTGCATTGAACATATATGTGCATGTATCTTTATAATAGAATGATTTATATTCCTTTGGGTATATACTCAGTAATGGGATTGCTGGATCAAATGGTATTTCTGTTTCTAGGTCTTTGAGGAAACACCACACTGTTTTTCACAATGGTTGAATTAATTTACACTTGAGTAAAAAGCATTTTACTCAACAGCGTAAAAGCACTCCTTTTTCTTCACAAGCTCACCAGCATCTGTTGTTTCTTGACTTTTTAATAATCACTATTCTGACTGGTGGGAGATGGTATCTCATTGTGGTTTTGATTTGCATTTCTCTAATGATTAGGGATGTTGAGCTTTTTTCATGTCTTTGGCTGCATGAATGTCTTCTTTCAAGAAGTATATGTTCATGTCCTTTGTCTACTTTTTAATAGGGTCGTTTGTGTGTGTGTTTTTTTTTATAAATTTGTTCAAGTTTCTTGTAGACTTAAGATATTAGACTTTTGTCAGATGAATAGATTGCAAAAATTTTCTCCCATTGTGTAGGTTGTCTGTTCACTCTGATAATAGTTTTTCTGTTGTGCAGAAGCTCTTTAGCTTAATTAGATCCCGTTTGTCAATTTTGCTTTTGTTGCAATTGTATTTGGTGTTTTCATCATGAAATCTTTTCCTGAGCCTATGTCCTGAACTGTATTGCCTAGGTTTTCTTCTACGTTTTTTTTTTTTTTTATAGTTTGGGGTTTTACAGTTAGGTTTTTAATTTCTCTTAATTTTTGTATGTGGTGTAAGAAGGAGTCCAATTTTAATTTTCTGTATATGGCTAGCCAGCATTCCCAGCAAAATTTATTAAGTAGGGAGTGCTTTCCTCATTGTTTGTTTTTGTTAAGTTTGTTGAAGATCAGATGGTTGTAGGTGTGCAGTTTTATTTCTGAATTCTCTATTTTTTACCCTTGGTCTATGTGTCTGTTCTTGTACCAGTACCATGCTGTTTTGGTTACTATAGCCTTGTAGTATAGTATAGTTTGAAATCAGGTAGCATGATGCCTCCAGCTTTGTTCTTTTTGCTTAGGATTATTTTGGCTATTCCGGTTCTTTTTTGGTTCCATGTGAATTTTAAAGTAGTTTTTTCTAATTATGTGAAGAATGCCAATGGTAGTTTAATGGGAATAGCATTGACTCTATAAATCACTTTGGGCAGTATGGCCATTTTCACGATATTGATTCTTTCTGTGAGCGTGGAATGTTTCCCCATTTGTGTGTGACCTCTCTGATTTCTTTGAGCAATGGTTTGTAGCTCTCCTTGAAAAGGTCCTTCACTTACTTTGTTAGCTGTATTCCTAGGTATTTTATTCTTTTCATAGCAATTGTGAATTGGAGTTCATTTATGATTTGGCTCTCTGCTTGCCTGTTGTTGGTGTAGAGGAATGGTAGAGACTTTTGCATTTTGATTTTGTATCCTGAGACTTAGCTGAAACTGTTTATCAGCTTAAGAAGCTTTGGGATGAAGTGATGGGGTTTTCTAGGTATAGGATTATGTCATTTGCCACAAAGATAATTTGACTTCCTCTCTTCATTTCTTTCTCTTGCCTGATTGCCCTGGCCAGAAATTTCCTATTACATTGAATAGGAGTGGTGAGAGAGGGCCTCCTTGTCCTGTGCTGGTTTTCAAGGGGAATGCTTCCAGCTTTTGTCCATTCAGTACTATATTGGCTGTGGGTTTGTCATAGATGGCTTTTATTATTTTGAGGTATGTTTCTTCAATAACCGGTTTATTGAGAGTTTTTAACATGAAGGATGTTGAATTTTATTGAAGGACTTTTCTGCATCTGTTGAGAAAATAATCTGTGCTTTGTCTTTAGTTATGTTTATGTAACGAATCACATTTATTGATCTGCATATGTTGAACCAACCTTGCATCTTGGATATGAAGCTGACTTTATTGTGGTGAATAAGCTTTTTGATGTGCTACTGATTTGGTCTGTCAGTATTTTATTGATGATTTTTGCATAAGTGTTCATCAAGGATATTGGACTGAAGTTTTTTTTTTTAATTTACTGTATCTCTGACAGGTTTTGGTATCAGGATGATGCTGGTCTCATAGAATGAATTAGGGAAGAGCCCCTCCTTTTTAATTTTTGGAGTAGTTTCAGAAGAAATGATACCAGCTCTTCTTTGTAATGCTGGTAGAATTCAGCTGTGAATCCATCTTCTCCTGGGTGTTTTTTGGTCAGTAGGCTCTTTATTACTTCCTCAATTTCAGAACTCATTATTCATCTATTCATGGATTAAATTTCTTTCTGATTCGGTCTTAGGAGGGTGTATGTGTCCAGGAATTTACCCATTTCTTCTAGATTTTCTAATTTGTATGCATAAAGGTGTTTATAGTGTTCTCTGATGGTTGTTTGTATTTCTGTGGGTCAGTGGTGATATTGCCTTTTTCATTTCTGAGTATGTTTATTTGATTTTTCTCTCTTCATTAGTCTAGCTAGTATTCTATTTTATTATTTTTTCCAAAAACTAGCTACTGGATTTGTTAATTTTTTTGAAGGGTTTTTGGTGTCTCTATCTCTTTCAGTTCAGCTGTGATCTTGGTTATTTCTTTTCGTCGGCCAGCTTTGGGGTTCATTTGCTCTTTGTTCTCTAGTTCTTTTAGTTGAGATGTTAAGTTGTTAACTTGAGATCTTTCTACCTTTTTGATGTATGCATTTAGTGGTATAAATTTCCCTCTTAACACTGCTTTAGCTGCAACCCAGAGATTCTCGTACATTATCTTTTTGTTCTCATTAGTTTCAAAGAACTTATTGATTTCTGCCTTAATTTCATCATTTATTCAAGAGTCATTCAGGAGTAGACTGTTCAGTTTCCATGTAGTTGTGTAGTTTTGAGTAAATTTCTTATTCTTGAGTTCTAATTTGATTGCACTGTGGTCTGAGAAACTGTTATGATTTCAGTTCTTTAGCATTTGCTGAGGAGTGTTTTACTTCCGACAATGTAATCAATTTTAGAGTAACCGCCATTAGGCAATGAGAAGAATGTATATTCTGTAGATATCTATCAGGTACACTTGATCCAGGGTTAAGTTCAGGTCCTGCGTATGTTTGTTAATTTTTTCTCTTGATGATATGTCTAATATGTTAGTGGGGTGTTAAAATCTCTCACTAGGATTGTGTAGGAGTCTAAGTCCCTTTGTAGGTCTCTAAGAACTTGCTTTATGAATTTGGGTGCTTCTGTATTGGGTGCATATATGTCCTTCTGAGGTTCACTTATCTCCATATGTAAACGTGAAATAATATTATCTTCTCTGCCCAATGTCCACGTTTTTTGAGAACAGTATATGTAAAAAGAAGAAATAAGAAAATGCAAATATCAAAATGTCATACAAGTTAAGGTAGTTATCCTATTTATAATTTCTGTCTAAATTTTCTCTAGTATATTCCTGATATGATTTGGCTCTGTCTCCCCACCCAAATCTTATCTCAAATTGTAATCCCCGTGTGTCAGGGTTGGGACCTGGTGGGAAGTGACTATGTCATGGGGATGGTTTCCCCCATGTTGTTCTCATGATAGTGAGTGAGTTATCATGAAAGTTCAGGGTTTTGAAGTGTTTAGCAGTTCCCCACTCACTCTGTCTCTCTCCTGCCACCATGTAAGGTGTGCCTTGTTTCCCTTTACCTTATGCCATGATTGCAAGTTTCCTGAGGCCTCCCCAGCCATGCAAAACCGTTAGTCAATTAAACCTCCTTTCTTATAAATTACCCAGGCTCAGAGAGTGTCCGTATAGCAGTGTGAAAATGGACTTATACAATTCCTTCAAATCTATGTATGCCCTTAACATAATGCTCATTTTTTTAAAAGTCAAGTTTTTTGAGGCATAATTTACAGATACTTTCCCTTTTTAGGGAATCTTGATTTTTACACAAAGCTGTTTGACATGGGGAAATTAATTTCTCCTCTTGGCCTCCAGTTTTCAGATCTTTAAAGTAGGAGGAAGGTGGCTAGAAAATTACAAGTTTCTGTATTATCTTTCGGTACAATTTAGTTTTCTGAAAATATGGTTAGGAAGAGTTAGTTGAAGTGGGAGAGACTCTGGAAGCTCTACCAATCATAATTTTAAAGAAAAGTGCATTTACATGTCAGTTTATTTAGATAAATAATAACTAAGAAATACAAGGGGAAGTAGAATGAACTGTTATGTTTTATAATAGGTACAATTGATTTTCTATAAAAAGAAATTTCTTAAAGTGATAGCTTATTTACCTACATAGATGAATTCAATCTTTCTTTGATTCAGAAACCTCTGGAATATCATAAGTCAAATTCTTGCTAAAAACTTGCAATGCAATTCCAGTTTCTATGTAAATAATAATGTTCAAATTCTTTGACATGGCATGTGAGGCACATTTTGTCCAGTTTTCCATTCCTGATTTCCCGCTTTCCATTCTAAAGCTCACCCAAATCCACCCTCCATGGCACCTCTGAAATAGTTGTATGATGCTGCCTCACGAATCATGTTTTGTGGCTTCCTTTGCCTGAATGCTCTTCTCTGCTCACTCCTCAAAAGTTTTAGAATACCTTTCCTCTAGGAAGATACTTTTTTGATTGTTTTCTTTCTTTCCTTTATTTATTTATTTATTTATTTATTTTGAGACGAAGTTTCACTCTTGTTGCCCAGGCTTGAATACAATGACGAGATCTCAGCTTACTGCAACCCCTGCCTCCCAGGATCAAGCAATTCTCCTGCCTCAGCTTCCTGAGCAGCTGAGATTTCAGGTGCGCACCACCATGCCCTGCTAATTTTTTGCATTTTTAGTAGAGACGGGGTTTCACCATGTTGGCCAGGCGGGTCTCGTACTCCTGACCTCAGGTGATCCACCTGCCTTGGCCTCCGAAAGTGTTGGGATTACAGGCGTGAGCCACCAAGCCCAGCCTGATTGTTTCCTACAATAGATTGTGAGCACTGGGCTCAGCCTCGCTGACTGAATCAGTAGCAAATTGGATAATGCTTGGCCAATATTTGACATATAATGTACATTTGATGAATAAATGAATATCTTTATTAAATACATTTTTATATTTTAGGCATTCTTTAAATAATTTCTCATTACTTTTTTTTTTTTTTTTTTTTGAGATGGAGCCCCACTTTGTCACCCAGGCTGGAGTGCAGTGGTGTGATCTTAGCTCTCTGCAACCTCGGCCTCCCGGGTTCAAGTGATTCTCCTGCCTCAGCCTCCTGGGTTGCTGGGATTACAGGGGCCTGCCACCATGCCCGGCTAATTTTTGTATTTTTAGTACAGACAGGTTTTCACCATTTTAACCAGGCTGGTCTTGAACTCCTGACCTCAGGTGATCTGCCTGCCTCTATCTCCCAAAGTGCTGGGATTATAGGCGTGAGCCACAGCACCTGGCCTGAATTTCTCATTATTTTGAATGTGAACTTCCTAGAAGTGACAGTGCTTCATCACTGATTATGTACATATATATTTATATTTAAGTTCATATTGTTAAAAAATAATGTGTGGTATAAGTACTAATCTCCAATAATTTTTATATGAGTTGAACATGCTTTTATGAAGACCAATGTTAAAAACAAAACAAAATTATTAATTTTGCACCAAATGGCTAAAAATAAAGCTTTCTTTTTGATATGACAGAATGAAAACACTAGCTTTGCTAAGAGGATAAATTGCCCTTTAATAAAAATTTCTCTTTCTGCTATTTGATTGTTTTACTTGAACAACAATTAACAAAAGCTGACACAAACTTAACTAAAATAAAGAGATTAAGTTTGATCATGAAAAACTGGGAATAAATATACAATATTAATTGTATACTTTAGGAAAGAGCTAAAGAGGAGTAATTAATATAAATATTTAAGGAATATTATTTAATAAACAGTAAAAATTTAAGGGATTTTATGTAAGGAGTATTAAAAAATAGAAACTCTTTCCATCCCATAGTTTTCAATGTAATGAAAAGTTATTTAACTTTATTTGCTTTTGTTCTGAAGTAATTCAACTTATTCATATATTTTTTGAAAAAAAAATCAAATATTTAAGCACAGTGCTGCTGTCAATTAATATTGGAAAGCTTCTGCAAAAGATGTGCTTTCTTTTTAAGGCAGTTTGAAAATGCCTTTGATGCAGAATCAAAACAATAAGCACTGGCTCCATAGATCTCAGTATTTATTCATGACAACCTGACACATTAATTTTGAAAGCCTATGACAAATTTCTCCCAAGTACTATTTTCAAAAAGTTATGTAGAAAATGGTACATGTGCAACTCACAAAGATTAATCATGCTAAATATATTTAGAATTTATTATCATATTTCCTGTTCTTATTTTGCATGGATTATTACAAACTGTTCTCCTTCAGACTCTTTAAGAGACTTCTATAAAATACTGACACAGAGGAAAGAAAATATGCATTTTGATATATTCACAATATGTTCAGAGCTTGTCTAAAACCCTTAGCCAGGCAATATGTTTGAGAATTAAAGTTTTGGTTAATGTTTGTTAGTTCCAATGAGGATTGAGAATTTCAGTCAGAAATTTATAAATTATATAAGACTTTCAAAGGGAGTTGAGACTAAGTAGGATTTAAGAATAAGAAGTCGATATAAGATCTGGGCATATTCATGATTGAATCAGAGAGAAAAAAAGAGAACAAAGAGGAATAGGAAGATTAGATAGAAAAACACATATATCTAACTCTGAAAAATTACTAGTAAGGATTCTTAACTCTTAAAATTTGGTGTTTTATACAGACATGGCCCCATCCTCATTAGGTATGAATTTAGTAAGATAATTTTAATGTATAAAATGTATGGGAGTACTGAATGAAGACTTAGAGTTAGATAAAATGTTTTAATTCTAACAAAGTAAATAGGCACATAATAAAGCATCTAATATTTCAGAAGGACTTATAGTAAGATAAGAAACCTCTCTACCCTTCCTTCCTTAGTAATGCTCTCAATTCGTGGAAGCATTTGCAAGCATTTTCCATAATGAATTACTTTGGTACTAACCTTCAAAACTCTATTATGTTTGATCAGTGATTTGTTTATTTGTCAACCGTAGATCATGATAAGTATTGTTGTTTTTATATATTTTTTTCCAGCTTGTATTACATAATCATTTCTCTGTTTGGAACATCTTTTCCTCAAATATTCTGTATTTTGTTACCTCACTTCACTCAGGTCTCTGTTCCAATGTCACCTTCATTGAAAAGCTACTGCTCCCTATCACCCTGATTGACTTTTCTTGATTATACTTACCATTGCTTTACTTTATAAATTTGTCATATGTTTATTTACTGTCTGTCTCCCTACTAGCATGTATGTTTCATAACAGAGGCTATCTTTTTTGTTCACTGATTATCTCTACTGTCTAGAAAAGTGTCAGGGACGTTGTAGGAACTCATTAAATATTTGTTAAATAAATCAGTGAATAAAGTGCCTAGAATAATGCCAGGTTTGCAGTGATGTTGATTAATGTTGGGTAATAATAGTAATAATTATTATTATTATCATAAAATTTAAGAACTTTATAAGTCCTTGAGAATGTTTATTTTGTTCTGTGCACAAAGGTTATTTATCTTTATCACTCAGGATATGTAGTGTGTGTGTGTGTGTGTGTCTGTCTGTGTGTTATATATTCATTGTTATCCTCATAACAGTGTCAATAGTGAAAATTCACTGTGAATAAAATGCCTTAATCATGAAACCACAATAATACCTAGTCCTGAGTGACAGAGGTTACCTGGAAATACGTTATAAAGAAAACCACTAAATTTATTATTGTCTTATAAAAATTTAACAAACTTGTATTTTGGAATAACTTAAGATCTACGGAAAAGTGGCAAGGATAGTATTGAGAGTTCCTGTGTACCTTTCACCTAACTTCCCCTAATGTCAACGTGTTACATAACATCAAAACTAAGAAATTCATAGTAGTACAGTGCTATTAACTACAGACTTTATTTGGGTTTGGTCAGTATTTTTTTACTAATTATCTTTTCCTATTCTAAGATACAATCTAGGATAACACATTCTGTGTTTACACATTTCGTCTTAATATCTCCTTTGTCTTCTCCAATCTATTACAGTTTCTTAGTTTTCCTTGTTCCTTATGATGTTGATAGTTTTAGAAGAGTTATTGTTAGGGATTTTGTAGAATTTGAGTTTGTCTAGTGTTTTCTCATGGTTAGTCTGAGATTTTGGAATTTTGAATTACAAATTTTTGTAAGCAATGCATTATATTTAATGCTGACCATGTTGTAAAATTTAGAAAGATATTGTAGTATAATTTTAAACTTATCAGAAGACCAACTTTTAAAAATTCTCATTTCCTAAGTCAATAAATCCTTTCCATGCCAATCAATAGCATACGGGAATTAGAAATATATTTTTAAATTTAAATATGAATCTGGTCTTATGTCTGAAATTTTGCTTGTATTAAGGTATAAACAACAGTCAGTGTTTTTAAATTGGCATCGATACTTGTCATTTGACCTTTTGGAAGACAAACTTGCTTTTTTCCACTTCCTCCTCATCTTTTTTCTTCTTATTCATATTAGAAAATTGCTGTAATTTTTATAAACTCTACACAGCCTTAAGGCTTAGTGAAACATTTTTCTTTATAACCTCCCACATACTTTCTATATTTGAACAAAACCTTCATTGCAATAACTAGCATTGATAAAGATAATTCTATGGCAGTTTATTTGCTCATTTCTACCCTTGGTGTGTTTTTCTTAAGAGTCTAATTTTTAACATGTCATATTCTTGAAAACGTGTCTTCTTAGTCAAGATATATATTTAGGGATTCTCATATTCCTAAGTTAAGGTAGATAGAAGTAACTATTTGAACTATGCAAACTGTTCCAGTGTGTCTATTGTCCTTAACTTCTAATGATACTTTCATAGCTACCAAGGGCATAGCCCTTCCTCAAATAACATTGTTTTGTTATAATGTTGATGAAAAAAAAGTTCATTTCCTGCTGGCCTGGATCACTATCTGTGTGGAGTTGAATGTTCTCCCCATGTTTGGGTGGGTTTTGTCCAGGTATTCCAGTTTTCTCTCATGTGCCAGCACTGTGCATGTTAGGTTCATTGGTGTGTCTAAATGGTCCCAGTCTGAGTGAGTGTGGATGTGTCCTGCAATGGGAGGGGATTACCACCTTTTATCTTGAGCTGCTAGGAAAGGCTCTGGCCACCCATGACCCTGAACTGGAATAAATGGGTTGAAAAATGAATAAATGAGTAAATACACATTATTGCAAAATAGAAATTTGTAAAGTATGCCGTACTCATACAAACAGAAAACAATAAACAATGTGGTAAGAAGGCACTCAGGGAGCCTACCATATTGGATAGTTTGTTTTTGAACTGTGGTGGGAGGAAGTGTTCTTTACAATTTTCCCTTTGCAAACATTTATTCCTTGATATACCCCACCACCACTGTGACCGCCGTAACTCACTGATTCACCAACACCTGGATACATAATCATCTTACTTGTACTTATTAATCTTTCCTAAATGTATGTGTAGCTTACATTTATTTCAATGTTTAATATCAAGAATGATTCAGGTCTTTATTTAGAAGTTTGGCAGTGTTATTATAAAGAAATATTCCATAGCAACTTAACTCTTGTTTATATCAATTAGCTTATGGTAAGATTGGCTTTGTTATATGTCATTTTGCTTAAATTCTGTTTCCAAAAACAGGCTAGAAATTCATAGTTAGATAAAGTTGTTTAAGACAAAGTAGGGGATAAGAAATGGGAGATTATGAAGACTTAGTCACTATATAAGAAATACATTCATATGTTCTTATATTTCTTAATATTGCATTTTTATGATTTTGTTATATTATGAATTTTTTCTAGAATATTTTCTTGTCTATAGTGAAAAACATTCATCTAAGTTTGTCTTCATACAATGCCAAAATAATAAGCTATTATTAATATAAAATAAAAATAACCATGAACACTTAGGTAGTACATACCATGTACAGATCCTAAAGTGGGGGACATGGGAAGAACAAATTCCCTAAGGCAGGCAATGTGAATTTATAATGAGAAGGGAATGTTTATATTCATCTCTTGGCTCCAAGTATCATGTTTTATAGTTGGTGGACACACAACAACATATAGTGTTTGTTGATATGTATTCTCTATCATTGTGGGTGGGTCCAAACCTCTCAGAGCATCATGTCTAAACTGAGACAGCAAATGCACCTTCCAAAAGCCATTCAGTTGACCTATTAGGCTGGCAGCTCCTGAGTGGTATGGTATGTGATAAGCTACTGAATCCCATGGTAATTCGCCCAATGACACACATCCTCTCTTGTGAAGTGGCTTTCTTGTTTCCATGTAGTAATATGTAGAATCCTTTGTCTATTGATCAAATACTGTACACTGTTAGAGAGTGATGCTGGCTTAGGCTCTGCTGGCAGCTATTTGCAGAAGGCAATCACATATTGTATGTGAAACTTTTGAAACAGTAGGTTTTGTCCAGCGTCTATTGTACCACAGTTCTAGAAATGGAAACGGCCTGGGTGTTTGAAGAAAAGCTAATGAATAGATCGTTTAGCTGTCCTGCACATGAACATAGAGTGAAATTTCTGTGTTCATATGTATAAATTAAGAGAAGGTAGTGGGGAAACAGAAGATTAAAAATTCACCTGATTATTCTTATATTCATTCCCTGCTCTTTCCTTGTTTTGTTCTTTATCAGTGAGAACTATATTTTTCCTTCTCCCTGGTTTTTCTCTTCTGGGAATATTCTGCCTAGGAAAATACCAAGGACAATCCAGGATATTCTCTTATCCTTCATTCAGATAGTGCCTAAGGAAACATCTACATCTTCTCAATGATTCTAACTTTCACTCATCAGGCCCCGGTTTCCATGGTTCTAGCTCATCCCAGGCCTCTTCTGTTTGGTTCTTGTTTCCACCTGACAGCCCTGGCTTTGGGATTCCGGTAACATTAACTGTTTCCTCTGTGTCTCCAGGGAAGCAGCTTCATGCTATTGCTCTCTGGAGAGTTCCTTATTGTATTCTGTTTAGTCATTCAGCTTTTCTATCACTTATGCAACCAATTCCCTGTATTAAATGTCCTCTGTTTAAAATGTCTGGAGTAGTTTATATTTTCCTGACTAGGACTAATATGAATAATTTGCTTATTTCCACTGAAATTTGAAAATGTGGATGAAATGAATAGTTTTCTTTTACTTTTTTGCTCTTTTGCCCAGGCTGGAGTGAAGTGGCATGATCTTGGCTCACTGCAACCTCCGTCCCCGGGTTCCAGCGATTCTCCTGCCTCAGCCTCCCGAGTAGCTGGGATTATACGTGCCCAACACCATGCCTGGCTAATTTTTGTATAGTAGGGATGGGGTTTCCATGTTGGCCAGGCTGGTCTCAAACTCCTGACCTCAAGTGATCCACCTCGGCCTCCCAAAGTGTTAGGATTACAGGCGTGAGCCACCAAGTCTGACCATAAGTAGTTTTCAAATAAAAAAAAATTAAATTAACTCCAGAAGAGACTAACTCAGTACAAGGACCCAGAAGAGACTCATTAAGGATTTAACATTACCTTCTCCTCTCCCAAGAAAACAAAACCAAGCACAAGGCCCAAAGTTCTATCTATACTATAATGTCTGCCTAACTGCAATGCTATTTAAACTTTTTGAAATGTTTGAAAAATAAAATTTCCAATTTATTTTTATTGAAATTTTATGACACTGAAACCAGAACTTGACAATGAAAATGTTGAAAAAAATAGATCAGTGTTGTGTCATGTGTAAATATCAACAAAAGTATCTCAAATAAATATATCAACTAAAAAAATTACAGGACCACATTAATAAAAGTTAAATCTGTGACTGTGAATGAAAAACAATCCCATAAATATACCTTTAAAATATGGAATTCATCAGAATCATGATTTATTCGTGTTTATACACAAATGGAAATAAAATAAAATTTTAAAGATTCATTTACTAAGATAAAAGAAGCCAATATTTCTGCCTTTATTGATAAAATATTTCAAATTGAGAATTATTATACAAGACAACCAATTAACAAGCATGATCATTTTATATGAATGATTATGTAATACAAGCCATAACAATAAATATTAATCAACACAGACTCTCTAGTCTCAATTTTTAACCCCAAGTGGCATTAATATCTCTTCTTGCTGTTGCAGAAAGCATTTTTCCTACCTTCTTAATTCTCTAAAGATTTTTTTCCTGAAATTTTCTAATAAAGATCACTTGCATTTACAAATTCACACACAAAACATTTGTTGATACATGGATAGCAAGGCTGAGAGCTAAAACTTTAATAAATATTAACCAAAATGAATTATAGATCACATAGGTAGAATTATGAATCATAGTTAACACAATAAAATATCAAATTAACCAAAATTTTGATATCATTAAAGATAGTATACATAAACTTATGTCACCTCAATAAGGACACTGGAGACAAAATGGCAATAAGTATCATCAATTCAAGAAATAGTTAATATTGTTTAACAAACAATTGAACTTGAAATACTGTAAATATTACAGTTCACATATGAAAGAAATTTCATAGAGAATTCCTCAGATTTGACAATTATCCTAAAAATGTGCATGGCATCATCAAGGCTAATTTGCTAAATTGAAAGTAATTTTTTAAACCTCCAAAAAAAAATTTTAATTAACCCTGCCGGAAGACTTTTATTTTTACTGCAGAAGTTATTTCAAAATTGTTGTCATGTAAAGAAACTATCAAAGAGTATGCTGCTAAAAATGGTGACAAATGTATAATAAAAAACAATGCAAGTATTAATTTTCTAAGCGTTGTGATGTTTGTGGAATATATCAGCTTTTAAAATGAACATTGTTTGTTATGATTCCTTTTTTTATTGTACTTTAAGTTCTGGGATACATGTGCAGAACGTGCAGGTTTTTTACATAGGTATACACGTGCCATGGTGGTTTGCTGCACCCATCAACCGGTCAGCTACATTAGATATTTCTCCTAATGCTATCCCTCCCCTTGCCCCCCACCCTGCGACAGGCTCCGGTGTGTGATGTTCCCCTCCCTCTGTCCATGTGTTCTCACTGTTCAACTCCCGCTTGTGAGTGAGAACATGCAGTGTTTGGTTTTCTCCTCCTGTGTTAGTTTGCTGAGAATGACGGTTTCCAGCTTCATCCATGTCCTATGATTTCTTTCTTCCTTTCAAGTGAATATTAACTTTTATGCCTTGTTAAATGTTAGTAATTTTTTAGTTACTGTTTCTTAGAGAGTGCTTATAAAATTAAGTAGGTTTCAAGATCCCCAAACTTGCCACTGTCATTTCTCTCATTTCTCTAACCTGCCTCAAATCTGCAATGAAACTTTTAAAAAAATGATAGTAGGCATTTAACTTTCAAAATCCCCCCCCCAAAATTCATGTTTTGGGGCCGCGTTACCTAGAAATTGAAAAACAAGAGGACTCTAGTTGATTTGTGAGTCACTTTTACATTGGAACAGCCACATGGTGTGGTGCCCTTGTGGAGACCGATGGTTCTTATTAGCATATTAATATATTTGAGAATGTTATGCCAAAGGCACGGGTTAGTGTGTTTATTAAACCATTTCTCAGAGATATTTAGCTACAGAAGCCTTAACCTTGGTACATCTGTGGGTAGTTTGAAACATGTTTGGCAAATATGAGAATAAAATGGATTATCAATAATGAATATTCAACATAAAGAAGTTATATTTTTTTAGCAGCCTGAAAACATAAGATGTCCAAATATCCCATTCAGGAACATTTCCATCGATTTATGTTTTACTGCATGTGTGATCAGTGTGATATTTGGTGCTATTTTCCTATAAGCTAAAAGGGTCCAACAAATGCCAAGGCTTTTTCCATAGGTAGTATTAGTCATGTAGCTGTCAAATAGTTGTGGTAGGATGGGGAAATTAAAATCAGCTTTCACTGTTCCTTTTTCAGACCTAAGAATTTTGCCAGCAAACCATAGTACTTTTCTTGAGCTATTGTAGAAACTTATCATTCATTAATAGAAATTAATTTTGGACAGGAAAAGACAATGGGAAAATTAACCTCATATTTTGGAGAATTATACTTTTCTTGATTCCTGCATATTTTGTCTCATGAGTGCCTGATAAACTCATTTTTACTTTTTAAGGAAAAATAGTGGGCCTATTTTAATTGAGGATTCTTTGTTACACAGATACATCTCAGAGAAAGTTAAATTTTCTCAGGAAAGCTAAGGCTCCACCTTTGGCCGCACTGTTTTCTAGTAATCATCTAGTATGCACTTACACTCAAAAGCATGTGGAAAGAAGGGTGTTTAAAATTAAAACATACATTTTGAAAAACTAAACAAAAGAACCAGATTTTTTTGTGGACAGTTATTTTCACTTTCAAATTGCAAACGTTATTGAAAACCACTCTGGAAATTTTTCTTTCCTTTCCTGTCTGTTGTTTTGAGACTATTGGCTCATGGATTTGGCATGGATACAAACAACATAACGACAACCAAGAGGAAATTAATCCATCACAGTTCTAATTTCAATTTGCCTATTTTTATCATTCACATTTTTTACCATCTGGAAATTTTTCCATCACTAGCTAAAAATATTATACTAATTTTCAAATACTTTAGCATTTTAGAGACAGCAAAATTTTATTCTCATATTACATTAGTTAGCTTGCTTAAAGAAATCTGTTAACTGTAAGGCATTAGCCTTACATGAATACATAAAACACAATCTATATAAAATGCTATATACGGAAAACACACTATGTACATACATGCATGCTACATGAATATGTAAATATTAGTATTTGTATTTATGTGAAGTCAAAAAATCAGAAAAATAAATTACATATATATTTCAAGATACTAGCTTGAGTTATACTCATTTAGCATACATGTCCTTGTAAAATTAAAAGATATCAATTTCATATAATATGGTATTATTATGACAAATGAAGTAAATTATACTTATGTATACGCATGTGGTTTTAGAAAACTTGAGCTAATGCAATAAAATAACGATAAATATAAAATGGTTACAAATATTTTAATAACAAATGTTAACTAACAAGGTATTTGAATTTGACTATTTTATTTGAAACAAATGTAAGGTAATATCCACAGGAGAATTTGAATTTTCTCCATGCTGTTGTGAAAAATATATATTTTTTGAGAGTATATGTGTGTGTTTTTTGTGTATGCATGTATAGCATATACTTTATACATATTACAAAAATAATGCATTTTATTCAGATATTAAGTTGATATTGACTCTAGGGGTATTAAAGCCTTAAATTTGATGAGGTTTTTGTTTTTGCACAAGTATTCTAACAGTACTTCAGCATATTAAATATTTCTTAGCCAATGAGTTGCTTATATACATTAGAAAAGCAAATGGTTTGATATTTTGCTAGCACATTTGTGGAGAATAATGCAATGTTATATTCTTTATATTAACAAAAAGAAATGTTACTTTACAGGGTAGTTTCATCACTGCCTTTCTTTTTTTCCTCTATTGTTCTTAAATGTATTTTCTTCATTGATAACTCCCTATTTTTGATGCTATAGGATCAAACCCATTTGTCTATTTTTGTTTTACTTGTCTCTGCTTTCTAGGTCCTAGCCATAAAATCTTTGCCTAGATCAATGTCCTAAGGGTTTTTTCTGTTTTTTTTTTTTTTTTTTCTAGTAGTTTTATAGTCGTGGGTCTCATGTTTAAGTCTTTAATCCACCATTAGTTGATTTTTTTTTATATTATGAGAAATAAGAGTTCAGTTTTATCCTTCTGGATATGGATATCCAACTTTTCAAGCACTAGTTACTAAAAAGAGTGTCATTTCCCCCAGTGTGTGTTCTTGGTGTCTTTGTCAAAAATCAGTTGTTATAAATACATTGATTTATATTTAGACCCTCAATTCTGTTCCATTGATCTATGTCTTTTTGTTGTTGGTGGTGGTTTTTTTTTTTTTTTTTAACCACTGATACTGTGCTTTTTTGGTTACTGTAGTCTTGTAGTATAATTTGAAGTCATGTCGTGTGACTACTCCGATTTTGTTCATTTTTCTCAGGATTGCTTTGGCTATTCAAGCTCTTTTTTGGTTCCAAATGAATTTTAGAATTGTATTTTGTATTTCTGTGAAAGTTAACGTGGTATTTGGATAGGGATTATATTGAATGTGTAAATTGTTTTGGGCAGTATGGTAATTTTAACAATATTAATTCTTCTTATTCATGAACATGAAATCTCTTTCCATTTGTTCGTGTCCTCCTCAATTTCCTTAATCATTGTTTTATCGTTATTCTTTCTAAACCTCATTAGTTAAATTAATTCTTAGGTATTTTTTTGTAGCTATTGTAAATGAGATTGCTTTCTTGCTTTTATTCTCAGCTCGTTCATTATTGGTGTATAGAAACATTTTTGGTTTTTGTATGTTGGTTTTGTATCTTGCAAACTTTGATGAAATCATTTATCAGATCCAAGAGTTTTTTGCTGGAGTCTTTAGGTTTTTCTAGATACAAGGTAATAACATAGGCAAAGGGAGACAGTTTATCTTCTGCTTCCCCAATTTGAATGCTTTTTTAAATTCCTCATGGCTGATTGTTTAGGCTAGGACTTTTATTACTATTTTGAATAAGAGTGATGAAAGTCAGCACACTTGTCTTGTTCCAGTTCTTAGGGAAAAGGCTGCTAACTTTTCCCCATTCAGTATCACATTAGGTGTGAGCTTGTTATTTTGAGGTATCTTTCATCAATGCTCAGTTCATCAAGATGTTTTATCATGAAGGGATATTGAATATTATCAAATCTTTTTCTGTGTCTAATAAGATGATCACGTGTTTTTCATCCTTCATTCTGTAGATGTGATATATCATGTTTATTGATTTGCATATGTTAAATCCCTGGCATAAATCCACTTGATCATGGTGTATTTTTTTTTGATGTGTCTTTTTATCCAGTTTGATAGTATTTTATTGAGAAATTTTGCATCTATGGTCATAAAGAATATTGGCCTGTAGTTTTCTTGTTTATTTTTAATTAATGTCCTTGCCTGATTTTGGTATCAGGGTAATGCTAACCACATAAAATGATTTAGGGAGAATTCCCTTCTGTTTAAATTTTAAAAAATCCTTTGAGGAGAATTGGTGTTACCCCCTCATTGAAAGTTTGATAGAATATGACAGTGAAGCCAAATAATCAGATCTCATGAGAACTCACTATCATGAGAACAGCAAGGGGGAAATCCACCCCCATGATCAAATCAACTCTCACCAGGCCCCTCCTTCAACATTAGGGATTACAATTTGACATGAGATTTGGGTGGGACACAAATTCAAACCACATTATTCTGCCCCTGGTTCCTCCTAAATCTGATGTCCTTCTCACATTGCAAAATACAACTATCCTTTCTAAACAGTCCCCCAGTCTTAATTCATTTCAGCATTAACTCAGAAGTCCACAATCCAAAATCTCATCTGAGATAAGTCAAGTCCCTTTTGCCTATGAGCCTGTAAAATTAAAAACAAATTAGTTACTTCCAAGTTACAATGGGAATACAGGCATTGGCTAAACACTCCTGATCCAAAAGGGAGAAATTAGCCAAAACAAAGGGGCTACAGGCCCCATGCCAGTCTGAAGCCCAGCAGGGCAGTCATTAAATCTTAAAGCTCCGAAATAATCTCCTTTGACTCCATGTCTCACATCCAGGCCACACTGAGGTGAGGGATGGGTTCCCCAAGGCCTTGGACATCTCACCCTCTGTGGCTCTGCAGGGTACAGCCCTCTTGGCTGCTTTCATGGGCTGGCATTGAGTTCCTATGGCTTTTCTAGGTGCACAGTGCAAACTGATGGTGGATCTACCATTCTGGAGTCTGGAGCACAGTAGCCCTTTTCTCATAGCTCTACTAGGCAATACCCCAGTGGGGACTCTGTGGGGAGAGGTTTTCTATAAGGGCTCTGCCCCTGAAGCAGACTTCTGCTTGGACATCTAGGTGTTTCCATTACATCCTTTGAAATCTAGCTTAGGCTCCCAAGCCTCAATTCTTACCCTCTGTGCACCTGCAGGCTTAACACCATGTGGAAGCCACTAAGGCTTATGGCTTTCACCCTCAGGATCAGTGGCCTTAGACTTATCTGGGGGCCTTTTATCCATGATGAGCTGGAGTGGGTGGGACACAGGGAGCACTGTCCTAAGGTTGTGCAGGGCAGTGGGGCCCAGGGCCAGACCCTTGAAACCATTTCTTCCTCCTAGGCTTCTGGACCTGTGATGGGAGGGGCTGTCACAAAGGTCTCTGAATGCCTTTGAGGCATTTTCCCCATTGTCTTCACTATTAACATTCAGCTTCTTTTTACTTACTCAAGTTTCTGCAGTCAGCATGATTTCCTACCTTGAAAATGGGTTTTTCTTTTCTACCATATGGTCAGGCTGCAAATTTCCCAAGCTTTCATGCTCTGCTTCCCCTTTAAATATAAGATACACTTTCAGAGCATCTATTTGCTCATGCATATGAGCATACATTGTTAGAAACAACAAGGCCATATCTTGAATGTTTTGCTGCTTAGAAATTTCTTCCTCCAGATACCCTAAATCATCATTCTCGAGTTTAAGTTTCACAGATCTCTAAGGCAAGGGCACAATGCCTCCAATTTCTTTGCTGATGCATAACAAAAGTGACCTCTACTCAAGTTCCCAATAAGTTTCTCATCTCCATGTAAGACTTCATCAGCCTGCCATCTGTGTGCATATTACCATCAGCATTTTAGACAAAACCATTCAACATGTCTCTAGGAAGTTCCAAACTTTCCCACATCTTCCTGTATCTTCTGATCCCTCCAAATTGTTTAACCTCTGCCTGTCACCCAGTTCCAAAGCTGCTTCAACATTTCTGCTATCTTTATAGCCCCACTCCTAGTACCAGTTTTCTGTAGTAGTCCATTCTTGCATTGCTATAAATTTATAAAGGAAATTTATAAAGGAAAGTAATTTATAAAGGAAATTTATAAAGGAAATTTATAAAGGAAAGTAATTTATAAAGGAAATTTATAAAGGAAAGAGGTTTAATTGACTGATAGTTCTGCAACCTATATAGGAAGCACAGCTGCAGAGGCCTCAGAAAACTTACAGTCATAGTGGAAGGTGAAAGGGAAGCAAGCATATCTCACATGGCTGGAGAAGGAGGAAGAGAGAAAAGCAGGAGGTTCTACACACTTTTAAACAACCAGATCTCGTGAAAACTCACTCACTATCACCTCCCACCAGGCGCCCCACTCCACATTGGAGATTACAACTAGATATGAGATTTGGGCAGGGACAGAAATCCAAACCATATCAGGTCTTTACTCTGTTTTACTTGGTTAGTCTAATAATTGGTTTATCTGTTTTATCTTTTCAAAAAAACAACTTTTTACTATGTGATCCTTTGTATTTTTTTAAACACTCCATTTTGTTTAGTTCTATTTTGATCTTCATTATTTCTTTCTTTCTACTAATTTTGGATTGGCCTATTCTTAATTTTCTAGTTCCTTTAGGTGCATTTTTAGATTATTTGTAATCTTTCTACTCTTTATGAGTTAGGTGTTTATTGCTATAAACTTGCTTCTTAGCACTGCTTTTGCTGTACCCGTAGGTTATGGTATGTTGTGTTTCAATTTTCATTTGTTTCAAGACATTTTTTGTTTTTTTCCCTAATTTCTTCCTTGACCCAGTGGTTGTTCAGGGGCATATTGTTTAATTTTCATAAATGTGTACAGTTCAAAAATTCCTCTTATTGATTTTTAGTTTTATTTCATTGTTATTTCATTGTTGTCTGAGAAGATACTCAATATGATATTGCTTTTCAAAAATTTGTTAAGACTTAACTTTGTGTTCTAACATGTGGTCTATCCTGGAGAATGTTCCACCTTCTGATGAGAAAAATGTGTTGTAGAGTTGTTGTATGATATGTTCTGTACATAGCTGTTAGGTCCATTTGGTCAAATGTGCAATTAAATCTAATGTTTCTTTGTTAATTTTCTCTCTAACTGATCTGTCTAATATCTGTCTAATATAGTCTTCAACTATAATTGACTTTGAGACTATCTTTGTCTTCAATTCTAATAACAGTTGCTTTATCTATCTGATTTCTCTTGTGTTGATTACATATATATTTAGAATTCTTGTATACTTTTGCCGAATTGATCTGTCATTACACATGATTTTATCTCTGTTGTATTTTTTATTTAAAGTCTGTTTTATATAAGTATAGGTATTCCTGCTCACTTTTGGTTTCCATTTGCATGGAATATCTTTTTCCATCCCTTTGTTTTGGGTCTGTGTGTCTTTACCCAATAATATGAGTTTATTGCAGATAGCATATACTTGATTTTTTTTTTCATTCAGCCAGTGTGTATCTCTTAGCAGAAAGTTTAAGCTGTTGACATTCAAGGTTATTATTGATATGTTAGGGCTTATTCTTGTCATTTTACTAGCTGATTTCTGATTGCTTTACATATCCATTGTTATTTTCTCTTTTACTGTTTTTCTTTGTGATTTGGTTGTATTCTGTAGTGCTAACATTTGAGTTTTGTATTTTTCTTGGGTGTGTTCTTGCTGTACCAGTGGTAATTATATTTTTGTGTATTTTCAGTATGGTGTTTATTATTATTTTTTGTTTCTAGGTATAGGAATTCTCACTGAGCTTCTTAAGTATTAGTATTTTGAGTTCTTTTTTATGAGATATTGTAAATATCCTTTTGATTAGTTTCTGTTGTTGGTGAATTATTGTGTTCCTTTGGAGATGTTAAATTTCCTTGCTTTTTCATGTTTGTTTTGTCCTTACATTGATATCTGTGCATTGTGGTGTAACAGTTGCTTCTTAAAGTTTTCTGAATTTGAGTTTGTAGGGGAGGACTTTTTCCTGAAGATGGAGCTATGGTGTTGGTTGGGTAGGGTACTTTAGCTGTAATTTTGGATGCATGCAGTAGTGTAGTCTTTGTATAATTTCTTTACTCTAAAGAGTGTCAATGGTGTCTGTAATTTTCTCAGTGGTTTAGGGTGTGGTTGTCAGCAGAGATTCTGGTGAAATTTTGTTGGGGACTAGGAAACCAAGTGTTCCAGTCTTCAGGCCTTAGTGGCGAGAACAGTGGGCTAAGACTGACTATTCTTCTGCCCCAGGGCAGTTTTCACTGACACCAGTGGTGGTGGTTATTGGCAGAACAATTCTTGGGCCTCCAGGTGGCTTGCTTGGGTGCCAGAATGGAAATGGTGGGTTATAAAGGTGGGCAAGTTCTTGAGCTCCTGGGAAGTAGACATGGTGTGGACAATGTCAGAAGCATTTGTGTGACAATCCTTTGGAACTCAAGCAGTCTGCACTGGTGTTGACAATGGCTGTGAAGGATTGGAAGTACAAGTTCCCAAACCCACAGGTAGTATGTGTGGGTGGGTGTCAGCTTCAGTAGTAGCAGCCTGTTGAATGGGCCTGACCTCAGACCCCAGGAGGAGTGCTCATGTTTCACCAGTTCCATTTTGGGCTGGGCAATCCCCAGGTCCTTGGAAGTTGTGCTTCAGTATTTGGGTATTAACTAGATGCATCTAGTGTGCCATGTTGAAGCCCCTTCTAGAAATGTTTATTTTTAAATAAAAATTCTGTACCACAATTACATACAAACTTGAAAATAATGATTAATTGCATGATTATTTTAAATTATCCTGGAAAAGTAAGATTTTTTTTTAATTTTCAGAGTATAACCCATATAGTGTATGTACATGTACATATTGAGGGTGTGTATTGATGTATATGGTGGGTATGTACATATGTGTATATATGTTATGTGTATATGGATATAAACGTATTAAATTGCCTAAAATTATATTTCCTTTATTAAAGAGTAGAATCAGGTGATTTTTTTAGCTAGATGCTTTTTAAAATATTTTACACTATACTTTTTGTTCAGTAATCAATATATCCCCAAATTTTAAACTTCTTCATTAAAGTCACAAGTCCACAAATCTTTCACATTAACTTTCTAGTAATAACTCTTTGGGGGCAAGGGCTTTTCTACAATAGAATTTTGTAAACAGGAACAGGCTTACCATACAGTTCTTTACAAGAATTCTTTGAAGGTACTACAATATATTATTTTCTGTCTTTATAAAGCTTACAGTGGGAATAAAATGCCTGAGGCCAAACATGTCTTCTTTGCCTTTAGCACATGAAACATCAAAAAATGCACTATTTGCATAAAAATATATGAAAATGTTTGTAAACAAAATCTTTATGCTTTGAGATAACGTGGAAAAGTATTCTTTAAAATTTCTTTCCAGAAGCAGTTTTCTAAAATAACAATATAAGGACTACAGGTCTAAAATGGTTGACAGTGATGTCTTTTGATCTTTATGTATTCAAAATCCTTGAAGCTTATTTCATAAGTAATAAAGAAGAAACTTCTGGACATAGGAAATTTCATATTCTACATTTTATTTGTGATCAAAGGTATGATTTTTTGTTAAATGTTAAAATAAGATGCATCAATTTGGTGAGTTTATAAAAATAGTGTGATTTCCATAAAATATGTATTAAAGATGACATTAAAAATTACAGGCGAAATAGCATTTTCAGAGACTTGCTAGACAATACCAAATCAACAAGCTCAGCATGATGAAATATCCACCACATATATTTTCTTAATTATTTTAATTAAACAATAAATTTTAGTCTTTATGACATTATTGAGTTTATCAAAATTTGTCAGTTTAGTAATAAAGTTATGCTACTTAGTTGTTTTAAAAATATCTAGGTTTAAACCATTCAGTGATAAGCAGTAGGGGAAAATAATTTTTAAGAATAACTAAGGTTACTAGGATTCAGCAAACAACTGCCAGTGATTTTAAGACCACTGCTTGGTAATTATCTCTCCCAAAGTTTTATGAAAGGTGGTTAGAAGGAATTAAATTCAAATCTGGAAAGTAAAATGGATCAATGAGGCATACATTACAAGCTAAGCAAATATAACTTATGTTTGTATCTCAAGTTCCCTTCCATAAACTTAAAAGATATTGAAAAATCATTGAGTTTTTGGTACACATAAATGTAAGGTCTTTTGTGATTTATGATTATAAAGTATGCACAGTTTGTGATGGGTTAATATGGAGACAGAGGAGAGAGAAGAATAATAAATTATAGAGTCATCAAATTTCTTCTATTTTAAGATTGTTATAGTTAATTTGTTTGAATCAGGATACAATCAAAGTTCAAATACTAACAGTTGTCTTTCACTTTGCTATTGTCCCAGCCACTGGATTTGTTTGCTTCCCCTTGGTGTCATCTTCAATCATTTTTGTAAATGGAAATTACTTCTATAGACTTGTTTAGACTCAGAATCCACTTTTTTGGTAAAAATACTTCACAGAGGGTGGTGCTGGTCAATGTTTATTAAAATCAAAACTAATTAGTGACAATATGGTCCTCCAATGTGAATTCTCCCATCAAACTTCAGAAAATGGTTTTAATCATTGATGTTAACTGTGTGAAACAATTGATCCATTAGACCTGCAAAATGGTGATTTAAAAAAAATCTCTAACATTCCTTACTTATTTGATGAAATTTTCTGTATAAAAATTATTTCCCTCATCAAATGAAAATACAGTTGCCCATGAAATATAGAATATTGTAGGACAACTACATGATTCTTTTCTTTTAATTGCTAATGTTCATAATACAATGTTAGTGTACTAATTGCTACTGTACTGTATAATACTGTATAATGAGTTTTGGATTTTTTTGTTTGATACATACATGTATATATACACATATATACAAACACACACAAATACACACACACATAAATACACACACACACATATATACACACAATTTTTATTGTTACAGATTTGGCCACTGGAAGCTTCTTCACATTGGCTCCTGTGTCTTTTTGACAGGACTACATTAAATTTGACACTTTCTGGCAAAATAAAATATACCGAACAAAACGAGAATGTTCTCTGAATTGCTCAGTCTTTGAAAAGTCCAGGTTCCTTCTAGTAAGAAGTGACAGAGATCACAGTCTGGGGAGTAGGTTGCTTATTCTATTAGTTGTTACTGCTTTTATGCCTTTTCAATGGAAAGAACTAGAAAACGTTCTGGAATATGAAGTATGCATGTCTGTTGTATTTTGAATTTACATTAAATATTACAGAAGTTTTACATAATTTAATTTTATAATTGTATCTTTCACATTGAAATGGTTAATTTTTAATATTAAAATAATTTTATAGTATTTTCTATATATGCATATGTATACTTTAATTAAAATATTAATACCCATATTAGTTCAGTAATAAAGCTACAAAGCATCTTTTCTTTGTAGATCTGTTGCCCTTAAAATATATTCCACCAAATATATATGATGAAAATTATCTATAGTAGAGTCAAACGGATTATTTTTTCTGTATGATCAGTAATTGCATATATGCAGTGAAAGTTTGTTTGCTTTTAGTTTTAAGTTTTTCTTCATGATTTAATTTTATTTTTTGGATATGTTAAATTTTTATGTTTCCAATGCCAAAACTTCATTAGAACTTTATTCATAAATCTCTTAGTTCTTTCTATCATCATTCCTCATTTACCACTAGTAATTATTTTTGTTAGTTTTTGATTTATTCTTTTTTTTTTTTTTTTTTCAAGACCGAGTTTCGCTCTTGTTGCCCAGGCTGGAGGGCAGTGGCACTATGTCGGTTCACCACAACCTCATCACAACAAAACACTGAAGCCTCCTGGGTTCAAGCGATTCTCTTGCCTCAGCCTTCCTGAGTAGCTGAGATTACAGACATGCGCCATTTTGTATGGGTTTCCCCATGTTGGTCTGGCTGGTCTTGAACTCCCGACCTCAGATGATCTGCCCGCCTCGGCCTCCCAAAGTGCTGGGATTACAGGCGTGAGCCACCGTGCCTGGCCCCCATTATTTCTGTTAATATAACAAATATGTATGCATATCTATGTGTAATTCTGTGTGTCTTGTCTTATGAAAAATATGTAGTGTTCTGGAACTTCCTTTTGTTCACTCAAGTATCTTGGAGTTATTCTCTATTGGTTTAGAGAATGTCTTTACTTACTTTTGTAGCTACAAAATACATCGTTTGATAGGTTTGTTACACTTTGTTCAACTGACTCCTATTAAACATTTGAGTTGTTTCTAATTTTTGATTGTATAAATAATTCTTAAGTATCTAATTTTATGTGTATGTTAATTTTTATTTTTGTCAGTGTGCATTCAGGATCAACTCCTGACATGCATTGCTGGGTCAAGCATGTCCACAGAATCTTTTTTAAAAAAGATAACTTTGAATTCTACCAGCAATATATGAGGGTGCCCATTTCCTTATTGGCTTTCCAACAGAATATGTTGTTGAAATCAAAAATTTTACCAATATGATTCATGACATCATAGCATAACTTGAATTTGTATTTATCTCATGAGTGAGGGTATCAGTAACTTTCAATAATTTTATTTCTTCTGTGAATTGTCAATTTCTATATTTGACTCATTACTCTATTAGATTTTGAGATTTTAAATTGGTCTTTGGGAGTTGTTTGAATATTAAATATATTAGGTCTTGGGCAAAAATTGCCAAAATTTTTTTCCAGCTTATCTTTTGTTTTTGATTTTGCTGATAACTGGCTTTGTCATTAAAAAGGTGTGCTTTTTTTTTCTTCAACTTTTAAATTCAGGGGTATATGTGCAGGATGTGTAGGTTTATTACATAAATAAGAAACTTTCATTTCTTTCATTTCAAATGCCGTGGTAAGTTGCTGCACAGATTATCCCATCACCTAGGTATTAAGCCCAGCATCAATTAGCTGTTCTTGATGCTCACCATCCCCAAAACCCCGGACCCCCGACAAGCACCAGTGTGTGTTGTTCTCCTCCACGTGTCCATGTGTTCTCATACTTCAGCTCCCACTTATAAGTGAGAACATGCGGTATTTGGTTTTCTGTTCCTGCATTAGTTTGCTGAGGATAATGGCTTCCTACTTTATTGATGTCTCTGCAAAGGACATTATCTTGTTTCTTTATATGGCTGCAAAGTATTTCATGGTGTATATGTACCACATTTTCTTTATCCAGTCTATCATTGAAGGACATTTAGATTGATTTCATGTCTTTGCTATTGTGAATAGTGCTGCAATGAACATACAAATGAGTGTATCTTTATAATAGAATGAGTTATATTCTTTTGTGTGTGTGTATATATACATATATATATATACACACCCAGTAATGGGAATGTTGAATCAAAGATTTATACTCCTTTGTGTATATACCCAGTATTGGGAATGCTGAGTCAAATGATATTTCTGCCTCTAGGTCTTTGAGGAATAGCCTCATCGTCTTCCAAATGGTTGAACGAATTTACACTCCCACCAACAGTGTAAAAGCATTCCTTTTTCACCACAACCTCACCAGCATCTGTCGTTTTTTGACTTTTTAATAATTGCCATTCTGACTGTTGTGAGATGGTGTCTTAATGTGTGTGGTATCTCATTGTGGTTTTGATTTGCATTTCTCTACTAATAAGTGATGTTGAGTTTTTTTTCATATGTTTGTTGGCCACATGAATGTCTTCTTTTGAGAAGTATCTGTTGATGTCCTTTGTCCACATTTTAATGGGGTTTGTTTCTTCTCTTGTAAATTTGATTAAATTCTTTGTAGACTCTGGATACCAGGCCTTTGTAAGATGGATAGATTGAAAAAATTTTCTTCCATCCTGTGGGTTGTCTGTTCCCTCTGATGATAGTTTTTTTGCTGTCCAGAAGCTCTTTAGTTTAATTAGATCCTACTGTCAATTTTTGCTTTTGTTGCAGTTGCTTTTGGTATTCTACTTATGAAATCTTTGCCCATGCCTATGTTCTGAATAGCATTGCCTAGATTTTCTTCTAGGGTTTTTAGAGTTTGGGTTTTACATTTAAGTCTTTAACCCATCTTAAGTTAATTTTTGTATATGACGCAAGAAAGGGGGTCTAGTTTCAGTTTTCTGCATAGGACTAGCCGGTTCTCCTAGAACCATTTATTAGAGAGTGCTTTCCTCATTGCTTGCTTTTGTCAAGTTTGTTGAAGACCAGATGTTTGTAAGTGTGCAGTCCTATTTCTGAGTTTTCTAGTCTGCTCCATTGGTCTATGTGTCTGTCCTTGCACCAGTACCATGCTGTTTTGGTTACTGTAGCCATAAGTATAGTTTGAAGTCAGGTAGCATGATGCCTCCAGCTTTGTTCTTTTTGCTTAGTATTATCTTGGCTATACGGGCCCTTTTTTGGTTACATGTGAAGGTTAAAGTAGTTTTTTTTTTTAATTCTGTGAAGAACATCAACGGTAGTTTAATGGGAATGGTGTAGAATCTATAAATCACTTTGGGCAGTATGGCCATTTTTACAATATTGATTCTTTCTATCTATGAGCATGGAATGTTTTTCCACTTGTCTGTTTCCTCCCTGATTTATTTGAGCAGTGGTTTGTAGTTTTCCTTGAAGAGGTCCTTCACTTCCCTTGTTAGCTGTATTTCTGAAATTTCTGAATATTTTATTCTTTTTGCGGCAATTGTGAATGGGATTTCATTCATGATTTAGTTCTCTGCTTGCCTGTTTTTAGTGAATAGAAATTCTAGCGATTTTTGCTTTTTGAATTTATATCCTGAGACTTAGCTGAAGTTGCTTATCAGCTTAAGAAGCTTTTTGGATGAGATGATGGGGTTTTCTAGATATACGATCATGTTATCTGCAAACAAAGATAATTTGACTTCCTGTCTTCCTATTCGAATACCCTTTATTTCTTTCTCTTGACTGATTGTCCTGACCAGAACTTCCAGTACTATGTTGAATAGGAGTGATGAGAGAGGGCATCCTTGTCCTGTGCTGGTTTTCAAGGGGAATGCTTCCAGCTTTTGCCCATTCAGTATGATATTGGCTCTGGGTTTAGATGTCTCTTTTTAGTTTGAAGTATGTTCCTTCAATAGTTTATTGAGAGTTTTTATCATGAAGGGATGTTGAATTTTATTGAAGGCCTTTTCTCCATCTATTGAGATAATTATGTCATTTTTGTCTTTGGTTTTGTTTATGTGATGAATCATATTTGTTGACTTGCATATGTTGAACCAACTTTGCATCCCAGAGATGAAGCCAGCTTGATCATGGTGGATAAACTGTTTGATGTACTGCTGGATTTGGTTAGCCAGTATTTTATTGAGGATTTTTGAATCAATGTTTATCAAGGGTATGGACCTGAATACCTGACTATTTATTTATTTATTTTTTTATCTCTGCCAGGTTTCAGTAACAGGGTAATGCTGGCCTCATAGAATGAGTTAAGTAGGAGTCTCTCCTTTTCAATTTTTTGGAATATTTCCAGTAGAAATGGTACCAGCTCTTCTTTGTACCTCTGGCAGATTTCACCTGTGAATCTGATTGTCCTTGGCTTTTTTTTTTATTGGTAGGCTATTTATTACTTCCTCAATTTCAGAATTTGTTATTGGTCTATTCAGGGTTTCAATTTTTTTTCTGGTTCAGTCTTGGGAAGGTGTATGTGTCAAGGAATTTACCCATTTCTTCTAGATTTTCTAGTTTATATGAATAGAGGTATTCTCTGATGGTTGTTTGTATTTCTGTGAGGTCAGCAGTGATAGCCACCTTATCATTTCTGATTGGGTTAATTTGATTCTTCCCTTTTCTTTTGTATTTGTGTAGCTAGAAGTCTATCTAGTCTATTAAATTTTTCAAAAAATCAGCTTTTGGATTTGTTATTTTTTTGAAGGTTTTTTTTGTGTCTCTATCTCTTTCAGTTCAGTTTTGATCTTTGTTATTTCTTGTCTTCTACCTTCGGGGTTCATTTGTTCTTTATTCTCTAGTTCTTTTAGTTGAGATGTTAAGTTGTTAACTTGAGATCTTTCTAGCTTTCTGATGTGGGCATTTAGTGCTATAAATTTCCCTCTTAACACTGCTTTAGCTGCGTCCCAGAGAGTCTGGTATATTGCCTCTTTGTTCTCATTAGTTTCAAAGAACTTCTTGGTTTCTGCCTTAATTTCATTATTTACCCAGGAGTCATTCAGGAGCAGGTTGATCAATTTCCATGTGGTTGTTTGGTTTTGAGTAATTTCTTAATCTTGAGTTCTAATTTGATTACACTGTGGTCTGAGAGACTATTTGTTATGATTTCAGTTCTTTCGCATTTGCTGAGGAGTGTTTTACTTCCGATTATGTGATCAATTTTAGGGTAAGTGCCATGTAGCCATGAGAAGAATGTATATTCTATTGAATTTGGGTGAAGAGTTCTCTAGCTATCTATCAGGTCCACTTGTTCCAGAGTTAAAATCATGTCCTGCATATGTTTGCTAATTTTCTGTCTTGATGATCTATTTAATATTATCAGTGGAGTGCAATATCTCCCACTATTAATGTGCGGGAGTCTAAGTCTTTTTGTAGGTTTCTAAGAACTTGCTTTGTGAATCTGGGTGCTCCTGTATTGTGTGCATATATATTTAGAATAGTTAGCTCTTCTTGTTGAATTAAACCCTTTACCATTATGGAATGACCTTCTTTGTCTTTTTTGATTTTTGTTGATTTAAAGTCTGTTTTGTTAGAAACTAGGATTGCAAGCCCTGCTTCTTTCTGTTTTCCAGTCACTTGGTAAATTTTCTTCCATTATTTTATTTTGAACTGATGTATGTCTTTGCACATGAGATGAGTCTCTTGAAGACAGTATATCAATGGGTCTTGGCTATTTATTCAGATTGTTGTCCGTGTCTTTTTATTGGAGTATTTAGCCAATTTACATTTAAGGTTAGTTTTTTTTTATGTGTGAATTTGATTCTATGATCATGATGCTAGATGATTATTTTGCAGACTTTTTAATGTGGTTGCTTTATAGTGTCACTGGTCTTTTTTTTTTTTTTTTTTCTCTCCACATATAGTGGTTCCTACAGGAGCTCTTGCAAGGCAGCATTTGCATATCTGAAAAGGATTTTATTTCACCTTCATTTATGAAGTTTACATTGGCTGGATATTAAATTCTGGGTTGGAAATTATTTTCTTTAAGAAGTATTAGCCCCCAATCTCTTGTGGTTTTTCTTTACTTTCCTTTTTCTTTTTCTTTTTTTTTTTTTTTTTGAGATGGAGTTTTGCTCTTGTTGCCCAGGCTGGAGTGCAATAGCGCAATCTCAGCTCTGCCTCTCATACAACCTCTCACAACTTCTGCCTCTTGGGTTCAAGTGGTTCTCCTTACTCAGCCTCCCAAATAGCTTGGATTACAGGCATGTGCCAACACATCCAGCTAATTTTTGTATTTTTAGTAGAGATGGAGTTTCTCTATGTTGGTCAGGCTGGTCTCGAAATCCCAACCTCAAGTGATATGCTGGCCT